>NC_000004.12:114527441-114678956 GCF_000001405.40 Homo sapiens | reverse complement strand
TTCAGTAAAACAGATTGTTGGATTATCCCTTGAGGTTTTTCTTCAACTTATTTTGGTTCTTTCATTTATAAACCTTTTATTTTTGAAGTGGAGTCGTTCAGTTTTAGTAGCATTTGGGACTGAGTAAGTAGCTGAGTTTTGAAGAGAATCTCTAGCTTCAATCATAAACTATTACTTTAACCCAAACATTAGCTCTTTTCAACCCTGGACATCCAAATCCTGCCCCTATGTGTATGTGGAGGGATATTAGAAGCTGCCACTCTAGAGGAAAAATGTCTTAATTCTCATTTGTGTTTGACATGATGATAACCAGTTATGGGAATATTTTAATAGTTGCAGAAACTCTTTCTAAATAATAAATGAATAAATACTTTCTTGAAAACTTTATTATAGAATCTAGCCCAAGTGTGGAAAATTTAAAAATCACCCTATTTACCAAAACTGTCTAACAATAATCTTACTAGAAAAAAAAAAAAAACAACAATGATCAGTAAATACCTACACTTAACATTCTGAATTCTGGAACAGAATTTTAAGATCCATGTCGATGTCCTTGTAAGGTAACTCCCTCTGTTTAACAATAAAAAAAAAAGTCTCACATTTAACACGTGTTTCCACACTCATAAATACATACAAAAGTTGGGAGACCTGTCTTAGAAACATGTTTAAAATGAATATATATAATATTATGAAATAAAATCTGAATAAAAATTTTATTCCAACAACACTTCTCTATTTTAAATCATGTTTATTATTTAAGTTTTTATCACAGTGGAGATTAACTTATGTTTAATCATCCAATCAGTGCCTACTGTCAACTTAATCAAATTCCAAAAAAGTAAAATCAACTCATTCATACACTCTAAGTCCTCTTACTATCCCACCATTCATTGCCTGTGTCTTTTTTCCCTTTTAACGGCAACATCGTAATAAGATTGTGAAAAGGTATAACTAATAAGTTTCTATGTATGTATAATACCATTTCTTCAAGTATTCAGAGAGCAGTACATTTGTCTGCATTGTACATTAGAAAACTACTTGTGACATTATTTCTAAGTGCAGGAGAGCAGCTCCTGGTGGGAGAGTAATGAAGTTGTTTGTCATAGTGTATGCCAAGGATTTACAGCACTCTAGAATTTTCACAACTCTTCCATGTTAGTGAATGACATTAGGTAAATGTTGTATTTGCCTACTCTCAGCTATCAGATGTGGGATTTCAAACTAGAAACAAATAAAGCATACACTCAACCAACAAGGGTAGTGCAAGTGCTAAGTAAACAGAATGACATGGAATAAATTCATAGTTGCCAACTAGTGAATGCTTCAGCAGGGAGACCCTGATTTTATGATGTCTGTGACTTGCATCCCTGTTCTCAAATGAATACTGTCACTGCTCCATGTCAGCTACAATGACCGGAAAAGGCTGCTGGGGTGAGGGCTGAGTGAATGAGGAAGATGACAGGAACTCATTTTCACAAACAAGTGGTTCAATTTATCTGTCACATCTGTATATAGTGTAAAGTCTGATTTGTTAACAAGATCTCAAACCTCTCCAGAAAAAGCAGGTACCAATATGGAAAACTGCAAATGTTCCATTTAAAAGAATTAAATGTTGGCACCTATGTAATATAGATTGTATGGCCCAGACAATAAAAGGGATCAGAAGATGGTTTTTTAAAAGTTAAACTTTGGAAATGTAACACCTGAACATTCAAAAATTACATTATAGAAAAGCCATCAGTTACATAAACATTCAACAATACAATGGTGCTGTTTAAAAATGCCCTAGAAGCAATAATCTTCAGTACTTTGAATAAAGTCAGAATTTCATTGCTTTGTCTTAATTATGCATTTAACATATTGTTACTCATTAAAATGAAATAGAAAAAACTATAAAATTCTTCCAGAGGAAAATTATTGGTAGTGGGAAAACAAAAGTAAAACGTGAAAACCAATGTATACATTTACTTAATTACATGTTTTTCCCCCAGAAGTGGCCATACTCTATCAGAAAAGAAAAACAATACAAACAACAACAACAAAAAATAACTAAAAAAAAAAATACAAAAAACTGTGCCATTTCTTTTTTTTTTTTCTTCCTCTGCATCCAGTTTTGGGGGGAAGTGTTCTTTCATGGTAGTGTTCTGAGTTCACACACATTAAATGCTAGAAAAGAAACATCTGGATCCTGACTATCCTTTTACTTTATTCTTGAGTGTGTTGTACCCTCAACAAATGTAACAAGCAGCCAGTAAAAATTCTCTTAATTAGGACACACACACACACACACAAACACACACACACACACACACACATACACACACACACATTATTAAGAAAAATGAAACCATTCCTGATCCGGGACACGCACATATCAAGATTTAAAACTAAGGTCTGACACAGTCACTGAATTGATTTAAATAATTAAGGCTTCTAAAAGGTTCAGTGCCAAAACTCTCTACATCAGTATTTGAATAAAATACATTTCTGCATTTTAGGTTTGTGCTTTTTACAGCCATCTTAATTCCACAGAATTTCATTAGTAGATCTCATAAGGGCATGTTAGAATTGTTTACTGATGTTTTACTTTTAGTAGCTGTTAGACTAAATAATAGCAATAAAAATTCAATGAGTGAACCAATTTATTTCTATCACCTGGGCTGTTGGCTCATTTCACTTTCTTTTCATGTTTAATATGGCCATTTCTTTTGTACTTGCCATTGAGGATTCCATTGTGGTAATGTCCATTAACTGTGCTATGCTTATTTCTAGACCACAGACTTTTGATTTTTCTGTAGATAAATTTTGTCACCCAAGACAAGAGAAAGTATAACAAGGCAGCACCAAGCAAAAGCACAAAGGCAATATCCAGTAAAAAATACTGACAAAAGGAGATCTGATGGACAGCGGCACGTAGGTGATGGGCTCCATTGTGACGAATAATATAATCTATCCAATAGATAGTTCGATTGACAGGGTGACCAGGTTGATCCTTGTGAATTTCCGAAAGCTTCTGAGCCCTCTGACGGTAGCTATGGAGAGGGGACAAAACACAGAATGATGATGCTTATAATAAAGTTCTATATTTATGCATATCTTCATTTAAAAAGGGGAAATAATTAAAACAACTATTCTTTAGTAAGTACCTTGCATGTACAAGCACTGTGTTAAGTGCTTTAAACACATTATCTTTTTTTTTTTTTTTTTTTTTTTTTTTGAGACGGAGTCTCGCTCTGTCGCCCAGGCTGGAGTGCAGTGGCGGGATCTCGGCTCACTGCAAGCTCCGCCTCCCGGGTTCACGCCATTCTCCTGCCTCAGCCTCCCAAGTAGCTGGGACTACAGGCGCCCGCCACTACGCCCGGCTAATTTTTTGTATTTTTAGTAGAGACGGGGTTTCACCGTTTTAGCTGGGATGGTCTCAATCTCCTGACCTCGTGATCCGCCTGCCTCGGCCTCCCAAAGTGCTGGGATTACAGGCGTGAGCCACCGCGCCCGGCCTAAACACATTATCTTATGTTAACCCAATAAAATGTATTTTAAATTGGTGAGAAAAATGAAAATCGGAGACTAACTTGATTATGTTACAAAGTTGAGACCCAGAATTTTCTGACTCCAAACCCTATGCTGTTTCCACACTACATTACATGTAGTTCTTCTCTCCACATACTTTTAAATAGTATAAATCAACAAGTTTCAACCAGGATGGAAACTAAATTTATTAGATTCTAAAAGAAAGATGGAGAAAAAGATACAGAACTTCATTCTATCACTTTTTAAGCAATAATATTTAATTTTGTTTTAATTTAAAATAACATTAAATATGGGGTGAAGATATATTATTAAAGAGATAAAAAAGAGTTGGGAAACACCATGAAGTCAGATTTGATGTTATATGCAGTATATATGTATAGGTAATGTATGCATGTATATATGTATAAAGAAAACACCCTCTTAAATGATTAAAAGACCAAGGAAAATGGGGAATCACAAAGTGATAAAATATAAGCATTTTATTTTAATCTAAAAACATGTGACTGCACATTCATGTGCCAATCTTTGACAAATGGCTAAATCCCCCTTGCATGAATTCATGACTGAAGTTTGTATTGTTTAGACATAAGAAATAATTTCCACCTCAAGAGATACAAAATCTATCATGGAGGATATAGCACTACTGAGTTGTGCATTATAGAGGAACAAAAGATTGGACATGTGTGAAGACTTGATAAATCAAGAGAAGAGTGTAAACTAAATCATAAAAGTGGGAGACTGAGAATATGCCCAGAACAAATTCATTTGGAAAAAGTATGAAGTTTAGTTAGAAATTAGATTGGAAGAAGATGAGTCTTCCCCATGGGTATTCTGAATGACAAGATATAATAGCTTCTTTCTTAGAACCAAAGAGCCATTATATCAGGGAGACAGGCTGTTAAAGCAGAGGGAAGATACTCGTGATGGAAAGTCCATTAAAAAGACCTCAATAATGACCAATGAGAGACTGACTAAAAAAATGGTGGTGGGATTAGACAGATAAAGGGAAGGGAAATGGTGTAGTAGAAGAGTTGGCAGGAGTTGGTAAAAGTGTGGATTAAATGTGAAGGGAAAGGGAGAGATCATATGTAATTGCAATGTTTCCAGCTTGAATGACTCACATGGCAGAGTTAATTAACAGGACACAGTAACACAGAACACGGGACATGCTGCTGGAAATGATTACAGTTTGGGATGTAATGAAAGGAAAGGTCGAGAGAGCCACTAGAAATGTGAGGATGGAGCTATAAGATTACAAAGCCCAGTGAAAAATCTACTCAGATATTTATGAGTTGATTTGATGAGCCTTTATTTTTTATGATTTCACTCTAGACCTAAACATTAAGTTTTAACAATTATGCAAAAAAATTGAGAGGCAGTGAACAGAAGGTTGTTAGGAGTGAGAGAAAAAACAAATGAAGGCTATTACATAAAAGTATGTAATTAACAGGCACGTTTTCTCTCTCATCAATGCCTCATAAGAAAATTACAACCAAATAATAAATCTAGTTGTATTAAAAGTACAAAAACCTCACCAAATATTAAAAGGCCATCCTCAGTTGCTTTGTAATTTATCATAATTTCTAACTGATGGCAAAAGGGAAACTAGAAAGTTTCTACTACTCCATTTTATGAGAAAATGCTTATGGGGCAAAGGAGTATCTTTAAAATACAAAAATGAAACGTGACATCTTAGAAAATAAAATCCAATCTTTTATTTTAACAAAGATGGAAAAGAAGGATAAAAACAATCTTAAGTCTTCAGGTACCTTAATGTCACTGTGTATATAACCCTTTCTCTAGTGATGATTAAACAGATTAAACAGATGCTTTAATGGAAAATCTCACTTCTTGTACTCTTGAATAAATTATTAACTCATATGGAACTCCAATATGTTTACTTGGTCCTAGATCACTAATTATCAGAAAAGCTCTTGACATCTGACTCAGCTTATCTGAACAGGGACTTTCATCGGTCAGACTCTTAGTCCCACCTAGGAGTAGACTTATAAAGCTGGATTGCTAACTAACCGATTTCATTTTGTATGACTATTCTGTTCAGAGGAGGTCCATGGATCAACTGGAAAGGAATATTGGAGAACTCACAGATAAATTTTTGAGGGGCAGGTATTTTCCATGCTGAAACTGGTCTCAAATTTAATGTAGTGGCATTGTCCCATGAGCATAGTTTATTTTACAACTCAAAATTCCTTCCAGTAAGAATATGAATATTGCAAAAAAATAGTGTGATTAAAAATGGTCACTCCAGACACCTCTAAGTTATTCCAAGAGATCTCTTAGATAAAGCCCCTTTTAATAAAACAATTACCTTGTAAGGGGCTCACATGTACATTAAATTTTACAAAAGTATAAATATCTTCTATTAAAAGTTGACCACAGGTTGGATATGTGCGAAGTTAATAATGATCGATTCTCCATCTTTCTTTCTAACTTATTTTGTAATAATAAAAGCTCCAGACTCAAAGGAATCCTCCCAAACAAACAAAAAAGCAATAGGCCTTTATTAAATGAATCCAAAGCATTAGGAAACAGAGACGTAAGATGTGTAATTTTACTTAAGTTGTGGATTAATAAAAGGAATACTTTTGGGGGGTTTTGTTGTTCTTGTTATTTCTTCTAAAAGAAAATGGAATACATGTGCAGAATGTGCAGGTTTGTTACATAGGTATACATGTGCCATGGTGGTTTGCTGTACCTATTGACCCATCCGCTAAGTTCCCTCCCCTCACCCTCTACCCCCAACAGGCCCTGGTGTGTGTTCTTCCCCCTCTCTGTGTCCATACGTTCTCATTGTTCAAGTCCCACTTATGAGTGAGAACACGCAGTATTTGGTTTTCTGTTCCTGTGTTATGTGCTGAGGATGATGGCTTCCAGCTTCATCCATGTCCCTGGAAAGCACGTTACCTCTTTCCTTTTTAATGCTATATACTATTCCATGGTATATATACCACATTTTATTTATCCAGTCTATCACTGATGGGCATTTGGGTTGGTTCTATGTGTTTGCTATTATAATTGTATTGCAATAAACATACGTGTGCTTGTGTCTTTATAGCAGAACGATTTATATTCCTTTGAGTATATACCCAGTACTGGGATTGCTGGGTCAAATGGTACTTCTGGTTCTAGATCCTTGAGGAATAGCCATACTGTCTTCCACAATGGCTAAACTAATTTACATTCCCACCAACAGCATAAAGCGTTCCTATTTCTCCACAGCCTCACCAGCACCTATTGTTTCCTGACTTTTTAATAATCACCATTCTGACTGGCATGAGATGATATCTCACTGTGGTTTTGATTTGCATTTCTCTGATGATCAGTGATGTTAACCTTTTTTACATATGTTTGTTGGCCACATAAGTGTCTTCTTTTGAGAAGTGTCTGTTCATATCCTTTGCCCATTTTTTGATGGGGTTGTTTACTTCTTGTAAATATGTTTAAGTTCCCTGTAAATTCTGGATATTAGACCTTTGTCAGATGGGTAGATTGCAAAAATTTTCTCCCATTCTGTAGGTTGCCTTTCACTCTGATGATAGTTTCTTTTGCTGTGCAGAAACTTTAGTTTAATGAAATCCCATTTGTCAATTTTGGCTTTTGTTGCAACTGCTTTTGGTGTTTTAGTCATGAAGTCTTTGCCCATGCCTATGTCCTGAATGGTATTGCTTAGGTTTTCTTCTAGGGTTTTTATGGTTTGGAGTTTTACATTTAAGTCTTTAATCCATCTTGAGTTAATTTTTGTATAAAGTGTAAGGAAGGGGTCCAGTTTCAGTTTTCTGCATATGGCTAGCCAGTTTTCTCAGCACCATTTACTGAATAGGAGATCCTTTCCCCATTGCTTGTTTTTGGCAGGTTTGTAGAAGATCAGATGGTTGTAGATGTGTGGTGTAATTTCTGAGGTCTCTGTTCTGCTCCATTGGTCTATATGTCTGTTTTGGTACCAGTACCATGCTATTTTAGTTACTGCAATCTTGTAGTATAGTTTGAAGTCAGGTAGCGTAATGCCTCCAGCTTTGTTTTTTTGTTTTTGGTTGGTTGTTTTTGCTTAGGATTGTCTTGGCTATAGGGGGTCTTCTTTGATTCCATATGAAATTTAAAATAGTATTCTCTAATTCTGTGAATAATGTAAATGGTAGTTTGATGGGAATAGCATTCAATCTATAAATTACTTTGGGCAGTATAGCCATTTTCACAATATTCATTTTTCCTATCCATGAGGATGGAATGTTTTCAATTTGTTTGTGTCCTCTCATTTCCTTGAGCAGTGGTTTGTAGTTCTCCTTGAAGAGGTCCTTCACATCCCGATAGCTGTATTCCTAGGTATTTTATTCTATTTGTAGTGATTGCTGAATGGGACTTCATTCACGATTTGGCTCTCTGCTTGCCTATTGTTGGTGTAAAAGAATGCTTGCGATTTTTGCACAGTGATTTTGTATCCTGAGACTTTGCTGAAGTTCCTTTCAGTTCAATTTTGGGGCTGAGACAATGCGGTTTTCTAAATATAAAACCATGTCATCTGCAAACAGAGACAATTTGACTTCCTCTCTTCCTATTTGAATACCCTTTATTTCTTTCTCTTGCCTGACTGCCCTGGCCAGAACTTGCAATACTATGTTGAATAGGAGTGGTGAGAGAGGGCATCCTTGTCTTGTGCTGGTTTCCAAAGGGAATGCTTCCAGCCTTTGCCCATTCAGTATGATACTGGCTGTAGGTTTGTCATAAATACCTCTTATTGTTTTGAGATATGTTCCATCAATACCTAGTTTATTAAGAGTTTTTTACATGAAGGGATACTGAATTTTATCAAAGGCTTTTCTGCATCTATTGAGATAATCATGTGTTTTTTTGTCTTTGGTTCTGTTTATGTGATAGATTACCTTATAGATTTACATATGTTGAACCAGCCTTGCATCCCAGGGATGAAACCAACTTGATCATAGTGGATAAGCTTTTTTTTTTTTTTTTTTTTTTTTTGAGACAGAGTCTTGCTCTGTCACCCAGGCTGGAGTGCAGTGGTGCAATCTCGGCTCACTGTAAGTTCCGCCTCCCAGGTTCACGCCATTCTCCTGCCTCAGCCTCCCCAGTAGCTGGGACTACAGGTGCCCATCACCATGCCCGGCTAATTTTTTGTATTTTTAGTAGAGATGGGGTTTCACCATGTTAGCCAGGATGGTCTCGATCTCCTGACCTTGTGATCCACCCGCCTCATGCTGCTGGATTCGGTTTGCCAGTATTTTATTGAAGATTTTCACATTGATGTTCATCAGCGATATTGGCCTGAAGTTTTCTTTTTTGTGTGTGTCTCTTCCCAGTTCTAGTATCAGGATAATGCTGGCTTCATAAAAGGAATACTTCTTTTACAGTATTAGTTACTTGGTTTAAACTAGAATATCTCGGACACAATATTAGTGAGGCAAACTAATATTTTCAATAATTATCACCTGTTAAATGTGGAATATTATCACATTGGAAACAAAGATAAGTGACTTCAGTTTATATAATGACTTTTAGCAAAGGACATGCTACACAAATCACTGGCATTTTTACATTGACTAAGACATCTTTCTATGCACAAAATCCTTTCAGTTAAATATTTAAGGTTTTCAAGTTACATGCAGTTAACTCATTATCTGATGTGCATACTTTTGGGAATGATATAAATTTATTCACTGCATTGAATAATCCTTAAATTAAGCACTTACATGTCTTCAATATTCTATAGCTGGAATTTAATTGCCATGTGACCTAAGATTGCAACCTGTTCTTGCTCTGATTCAGCCTGGTTCATGCCTCGCAAAACACAGCTGGACTAACTTCCTGTGAATAACCTAGATTTTTGCTCTTTCCTTTTCATCTGAGCCAATTTCAGCAGTTCTGCAACTGTTTCCCCATAATTCTACTTAGGGCTATATTTTACAAACTTTCCTGAAAGATTGAAGATAGATACATACATACACACACATATATGATACATGCATGATGTATATGTATGTGTGCATATATATATATATATATATATATATGTATATGAAATAACATCATGTTTTGAAAAGCACACCTTTAAAGAAAAACTATAGATAACAGAAGAAGGGATATACTTAGGCAACCCTAGTTATGGAACACATTGCTCCAATGGCAGAGCTGTATCCGACACTGGATCCTTTAAGAGTCCAGAGCATGAAGGTCACCCCTGAGCTCACATAAAGGCAGCATAATGAACTTCAGTTGAATTCAGCATTTTATATGCAAGCTGCATCCTTTTATATGAAATAATTTTTCTTATTATTGGTTGTTCCTTAGAATGTGGCAGTGTTTCTCAAGTGTTTCTCAGTGTTAAGCCATATCCCCTAGGCATAAAAAGAAAAAGCTTATACGCTTCTAATATTTAATGCTATTGGAAATGCAAGGTAAATTAAATATAATATCTACAAATGAAGAAAACTGCTGCTTTGTTTTAAAACTACACAGGCCAGTTCTTCACCCTTTGAGACTCATTGGTGAACTAGCTTAACTCAGGACCCATCAATAATTTAAAAAGCAAAATAAAGATTCTGCTTCATCATTCACCTGAGTAAATAAATCTCCGTATTTCTGCAATACTCAGTGCTAGGGAAACCCAGCAACACCAGGCTTACCATGCAGTACAAAGAACACTGTCTTGGGAATCAGACAGTCCTGGCTTCTAATTTCAACTACAATTGCTGTGTAAGCCAAATTACTCAAGTTCCATGAATATCAAGTGCCTTGCCTCTATAATGTGGATAATAAAAACTGTGATATACAGCTGTTATAAGTATGAAAATGAAATAAAGCACATAACATTTGACACAATGTAGATATCCAAAGATTGTTCCCATTGCAGTTTCTCCCTGTTTGGAAGATCCTTGCAGAATATTATCTGGTGTCATAACATGGCTGGTCAAATGACTGCTGTTTTCATTTTCTAAATAATAGAAAACATGCACAAAGCATTATCACAGGAATCTAAAGGATATTTCCATAATTTGATAATTTATTGACAATCTATTGAAAATAATTGGCTACTGACAATATACTGTGGTATGTAAGTTCATCAGCTTTAATGTTAATTGAAACCTTACCTGGGATTATTGATAACCTTCACTAGTGCTTCATAGAGCTCTTTTTCAGTAACTGTCTTCCATTCTAGCAATATCCCCATGCCTTTTGCCTGTACTCTGGTCATAGTATCATAATGGTCTCCAAAGAGTGGAATTCCCACTACAGGCACACCATGATATATAGTTTCAAAAATACTGTTCAAACCACCATGGCTCAGGAAGGCTTTAATCTTTGAATGCCCTGAAGAAAGATGAAAAAGAAAACAACTTACAACATTATTACTCTACAGAAGAGATTTTCCCAGAAATTCATTAAAAATCGGCACTACAGTAAACATGCATTTCAGATAAAGGATTCCTAAAGGTGTAATTTCACTGATTCCTGCTCTACACCAATTAAAATATTTGTTATATACCTAATTGTCAGATTTTGATATATCAATTAAAAGCCATTTTTAAGTAGTTGAAATGTATATTACTATTTTTAACACAAATATTGCATGACTAACAACACATATTTAAATGGCCAATAATTATTATGAAGCCAATGAAAGCAAGAAATGCCAAACAATACCAGAGTGAAAAAACAGACATCTACTTTCTGGCTACTCAAATGTTTATCAATATTAAAGTCAAAAACACTTTTTAAAAAAAATGTAAAAAAGGGCTGGATTCCAGAAGTCCATGAAGAGTTTGTGTGCTTCTCCAAAAAGAAATGTTGTAATCACTATTCACAACATTCAAGTTCTATCAGCATTAATATTTCACAATTTTAAGGTTTAATTTTACATTTATGTGCTCAAACATGTAGAGGTAAACATTTATAATCATTTGTAAGACATGAGACATCACATAACATTTAGTTGTTATGGGAATAAAAAAGATAATTTGTCAAAATTAATATGGAAGTTCAAAACCTAGATTTACTCTCCTGGTAAATGGCCTACATTTCTATAAAAGGGATCAAAAGTTGGCATAAGAGTTGTAAAAACAAAACAAAACAAAAACATTGTACTTAGGATATATGTTATTGGCCAGAAAGAAATTATAGCTAGCTGAAATGTCGATCTTTTAAAATACACATGTGCCAGGTACAAAATTAATATGTATGGGAACCATGGTCTCAATGGTGCTCCCAGAGCTCTTCCATTCTGAAGACTGGTGGAATTGGTTAGTCAGTGTCTCTAGCCCTTACCCACAAGTGGCTTTTCTGACTCTTAGGTCCAACTAAAGGATCTGCCCTAGAAGTGGATTTCAAACTTTATTTTTAGCAAAAACCCCTCTCTTTGAACAAAACCTACCACCAAACCCAACAGTTAAATAAAGCAGAGCTGCTGTGTAAAGAGGAGGGGCGGCTACGAGGGGAGGGGAAAGACATTGATTTGGTTCCTACTTCTCATCCCGGAAGAATCTTTTGATCATAGTTAGAAGCTATTAGAGGACTCACAAGGATAGTGCCTATTGTTAAAAAAGATACTAATCTTGAAAAAGTCAGAGTTCTCACACTGAGAAGCCTAGAGCAGCTATGGACTTGAGGAGAGTTTTCAGGCATGGACCTTGCAGTAGAGCCTCACAGTCAAAAAAAAGAAAAAAAGAAAAACAATAAGAAATGGAAAACCCACACACAATAAAAGTTTAGATGTTCATACATAACAGTGTCACACTGTCGCACTGAAATAGTTGATAGTCAGGTTATCTCACTTAAACTTCCTGCTTCTTTCCTATCTTCTAAGGAATCTAAGTCATAACAGTAAAGCCATAAAAGATTTAAAAATAAAAAAATACAAGGATCAAGAAAGGTAAATTGCCTTGTATTCTTTTTTCTTTAGTTTTAGCATTTATAGAATAGTATTATAATAAGCTAGATGAAAATAAATTATATACATAAATAAAATTCTTTACTGGTTTTTAGTTAAATTTAGTTAAAAAACTAATTTAGTTAAAAAACACACTTAAAAGATACGCATATACTAATTACTATTTTAATTTTGAGAATCAAAATCCCCAAGATTAAATAATATAAAATGCTTCAAAAATGCCCAATGATTTAGGACTAAACAGAGCAGATAATCCAGTTAAAGTTAAAATAAATTGACTGTTCCCATGGTCTTCTGCTTCTCTTTGGTTTCAGACAAATGAATAACTTCTAATTTCTCTTGGTTCTCAGACCATCTGTAACAAACCTGTAACCTAAATCTACATTCTTATTGTTTTAACTGTTCTACTTTCATCTGATTACTCTAATTAGGTATAATCTTATTCACTACTAATTTATATAGTTCATTAAGTACATAATTTCCAGATAATTAAAATTGATGGCTGGTCTAAAAATTTTAATATAGAGGCCCAAAGGTTTACATTTTACAAACTGTTTTCCAATAAATAAAGACTTAAAATTTTGGCCTCAAATTTAAGATTTGAGATACTGGATAAAAAACATAATAACTCTACCATATACTACATACATACCGTATACCGTATGAACCTCTGAAGTAAAAAAAAAAAAAAAGTCACATTTATGTAATTAAAACCTAACAGCCAAGTAAGTAACCACACATCATTGACTTACCAAGCAGGTCATTTTGTGGTAACCATTCTATGAGTTTAGTGTTGTTTCCTAGATTCTTTGGTTTGGGTCCAGAAAACCTAAAATGTACACCAGACAATTAGTCTTTTAAAAATCAAACCTTACTCATAGTATGGGCTCTCTGATTAAATTATGAGATTTAAAATAAATGTTTGATGATCTTTTGTTGATATTCTTAAGAATGAAACCATGCTTTGGTAACAGCAAATATTTGATTAAGTTTCTTTTTAATAAAAACTTTCACTGGTTGGAGGAAAAACAAGAAATAATTTGCTTACATAGAGATCTATTTTCCATTGGTTCCTCACGCCTATACACATACAGAGATGGGAAAAACAAACAAACAAACAAACAACAAACAAATAAACCTACACTAGAAGTTATTCCCCACAAACAGCCAGAAGCTGGAACAAGAAGGAGCAGGGAGAGCTGCCACTGCTATGGCAGTCAATATCCCTAAATCCTTAACACCCTGAGTCTGAGGGAAGGCAGAAGTATTGAAAAAAATCAGTAAGTTCTCTTCTTTAGCTTCACCAGAAATAAAAGTTTTGTGGGGTGAAGCACATAATTAGGTTGTTTCCTGCCTGATCTTTAAAAGATAAAACAGAAATATGCTTAACAACTAAGAGGGTGACAAAAGAGTCTGAATGGAATAGACATAAACTGTCCTAAATGAAGCAGAAGAGGTACTTTCTGGGGTTAAGCCTAACAGAGGAAACCCAATGGGACTCGAATCTGAAGGGAAAAGTCCTGAACAGTTAGAATAAAATAAATATCACTGCATAGTTCAGCCAGGAGAAGTGGGAGCTAATCCTTACTCATTTGCTATAAAGGGAAAATCTCTATTACTCAAAGCCTACTTGCAATGGCTTAAGGGGCACTTTCTTCCACTCATGGTAGTAACTATGGGACCGACGTTGTATCCCTAGAGTTCAACAGTGGTAGTACGTGCTCAATAAATACACGCTAAATAAAGTGTTCACGTCTGATTTTTCAGCATTGGGCTGGAAATTCCAAAGACAGTCATGTGCTGGCAATGCCTTCCAAAAGAAGCTGGGGTCAATCTATGGTTCTGTCTTAAACCGTGTTAAATGGTACGTGATTGTGTTTTTAAAGGCCAGGTTTCTTAAATAAAATAAATCAAAAACATAATGTAAAGGAGACAAAGTGGGAGCCCAAAAGAGTCCACGGTATTTTAGGTATTCGTTAATCCATCATTTTCTTCCTCATTTCAAAACTGATTTGAAGGAGTATATAAAAAGGCATGCAATTAAAACTAATTTTTAAAATCATAATAAATAATAAAAGAGTAAACGAGGGTAGAACTCTGAGGGAAATGTAAGTATGCATCTGACACAAGGAAAAGTCATTCTGAATCATATCTTCTTTCTGTGCTATATAGGTCAGAGGTTTCTTTAACCATCATAGAGCCTTATGAATTAATTCCTAGATTTCAACAAGCTAAGAAACAAAATGAAAGTCAAGGGCATCTTGCTAATCTTGTCAGGGAAACAATGTGCTGTGCTTTACTGGGACCTGTGCACTAAACAAGGAGATATTGATTGTCAATAGCAAAGAAACAATCTACATTATTACCTTACCTCCAAATCACTTTTTGAGGCAATCTCCCCAGAGCTCCTGCCAGTTTGTTAGCAATGTCTTCTGACAGATACTTGACACCAGCTCCAAAAGACACCAAGACAAAGCCATGTTCATTAGCACCATTTACCCATCTTTGGAGATCCTGTAAATCAAAACATGGCAGTAAGTTTTACGAAGACCAATGTAGTTTATAATTGGTGTTATTAACAGCCCAGTTAAAAAAAAACCTTTTAAGTAATTTTCTTAAACAATTAGAAAGTAAAGGATATGATATTTTCTTCTAAATAACTGCTTTTGTTTACAACATTTCATCTGATAATGCTAACTGAAATGAGGACATGTGGTTTATTTGGTAAGATCTGTAAGTAACAAAAACAACTTAAAAAATCAGTTGCTAAAGGCTTAAAATCTCAGAAAAAGGTCAAAAATTGGAAATGACAACTGATGCATGTTCAGAAAAAAATTTGTATGCAGACACAAACAAAAGATGTGGATTAAACATATGAAAAATCAATCATACTGGCAAAAATTTGTTAATGTATCATTTACAAATTTTTGCCAGTATGATTGATTTGTGTTGAAAATCAAAGCAGTTCATTTTAAGAAATACCATCCTTACTTCATTTTGTTCTATAGGCACAAGCTTGTTTTTAATGATGCCATCCTTTTGAATAAATCTTTGCCAAAGACACCCAGCTTCAGTTTCCCATAGGAAAATAAATAGAGCCACGGCACGTTGAGGAACACATTAATTCCACTGTAAGAATGACACACTTGCTGTGCATTGATGACTCCTATGCCATAATGCAGTCATGAAAGCAGAAGCCTGACCCATTCTGTGTTCATAATGTGTAGAGTGAGCTGCCACAGTTATATCTCATAGACCCTGCAGGTCTCTAGCTCAGGAAGAGTTATTGCCATGCCTGTGTCAGCCATGCTTCTGCATTTGGCACCACTTTGTAGCATAACGTGATTTGTAGCTAAGGAGTACTGCACAATAAGAAGTATCATCACGGCCAGGCATGGTGGCTCACGCCTGTAATCCCAGCACTTTGGGAGGCCAAGGCAGGTGCATCATGAGGTCAGGAGATGGAGACTATCCTGGCTAACATGGTGAAACCCCGTCTCTGCTAAAAATACAAAAAAAAAAAAATTAGCTGGGCATGGTGGCGGGCACCTGTAGTCCCAGCTACTCGAGAGGCTGAGGCAGGAGAACCTGGGAGGCGGAGCTTGCAATGAGCCAAGACTGTGCCACTGCACTCCAGCCTGGGCGACAGAGTGAGATTCTGTCTCAAAAAAAAAAAAAAAAAAAAAAAAAAAGCATGGTCACAATGGCATCACTGCACCCCTTAATTAAGTATTTAATGGAACATTAAGCCTAAGTTTTCCTTCCTTTCCCTTTTTCCCTTTTCTATTCATTTTATCACCTAAAGAGATCTGTATTAACTTTCTCTATTGTACTCAGCAGGGGACAGAGAGACCACATTTTGTCTCTCAAAAATTAGCGAATAATGTCACTGCATGACCGAGACTGATGACAGAAAGGAGGTACATCCTTCTAGCTACTGAGTAAGTAAAATAGGCTACCATTATCTGGTAGGGAAGAAAACCTTACCAAAACATTGTATTTTCCAGGAAGCTCTATTTATAAATACAGATAATCCTTGACTTATGATTTTTCAACTTTATGATGCTGTGAAAGCGATACTCCTTCAGTAGAGACTGTACTTCAAATTTTGCATTTTGATCTTTTCCAAGGCTTGTCACATGCCTGGGACAGTGACAGTGAGCTGTAGCTCTTACTCTGCAATGTAATCATGAGGTTGAATGGCCAAAACACAACTGTGTACTGTCTTGGCAGATGATTTTCTCCAAGTGTAGGCTAATGGAAGTGTTCTGAGTACGTTTCAGGTAGGCTAGGCTATGACGTTGGTATGTTAGGTGTATTAAACACATTTTGACTTAAAATATTTTCAACTTATGATAGTTTTATCACGACAGAACCCCACTGTAAGTCAAAGAACATATGTATATAAAAGAAATAGAGACTATATCAATTTTGAATTAAAACTTTTATATTCTGCTACATTTACCAAGTATATGTAAGATGCTGAAAATTTAAATGTTATCCGTAGATTGAAATAAACAAGAGCAGAATGATTTAAAATTTTATGTACAGTCCTAAGTTAGATGTACTTAAACATAAATGCTACACGGTAAAATCATATGAATACACATGGTGTATGTAAGCACCATATATAGCCTTTACTGATACGTGAAAGAGTAGAAAAAATTATATTCATCATGTTTCCTTCAGGAAAAAATCTCAGTACTTTTAGAAGATATTATTCCACTTGGCTTAGAAGGAAGAGTGGGAACCAAGGTGACATGCAAACTCCTATTTCCTGAGTTAGAGATGAAAGGCTGGAGCAGAGACAGTGAGCAAGTGGATGCCTTACTGTCCCTCAATGTAACCCCTCCCCATGATCTCTAATCTTCAGCCTAAATTCACAGAACATTTGGTGTGATGGATGCTTTATGAGAACATTGAAGGGGTTGGATTTTGGATTCGGTTGACAAGCAGGTGGTTCTGGAGTCATGAACAGATGCAAGAGCCAGAAGTTGAAGCAATCTTAAATTTGCTGAACTCACGGCAAAACTTTGAAATTGGAACTTCACGATAAGAATACTGATATCGTCCAGTGGTTTGGGAGGCCCTCAGGATATCTTAGCCATATATAAACATACAGGATTTTTTGGAATTTAAGACCCAGTTATAAAAAGCAAATTTATTTAATAACAGCTCTTAGAAAACAAACTCCATGGTAAATGTGTTCAACACACACACACGCACACACACACAAATCCTAACTCCAGAAATGTAACATTTTTACAAGTAAAAGTACTTCTACTCCTGGTCAAATATCTTCTGCTCCTGGTCAAATACCAAATTTTAAAACTGGACTAAATAATTCATTTATAATAGCAACAAAATTCATAAAGACCTACAAATAAACCTAACAGAAATATACCAAATATACCAAATATACATGAAGAAAACATGAAAACTTTTCTAAAGGACAAAGAAGGAAGGAAATCTGAATAAATGGGGACAATGGAACATGATGACAGAGACAATCAGCTACTGATTGAAGAAAAAAATATGAGGTTCTATCCCTCCGCTAGTAGAAGTCAAAGAGCGATTAAAAGTTAAATTGAATTATAATTTTTTTTTTTTTTTTTTTTGAGACAGAGTCTCGCTCAGTCACCCAGGCTGGAGTGCAGTGGTGCGATCTCGGCTTACTGCAGGCTCCACCTCCTGGGTTCACGCCTTTCTCCTGGCTCAGCCTCCCGAGTAGCTGGGACTACAGGTGCCCCCACTACGCCCGGCTAATTTTTTGTATTTTTACTAGAGATGGGGTTTCACCGTGTTAGCCAGGATGGTCTTGATCTCCTGACCTCGTGATCTGCCCGTCTTGGCCTCCCAAAGTGCTGTGATTACAAGCACAAGCCACCACGCCCAGCCTAAAAGTTAAACTGAATTATAATTTTAAAAAGACATTTTAAAAATCAACAAAATAATTAATAGACTGGCAGAAATATTACAATACACATAATAAAGGATTAACACTAAAATAAAATAGGGGGAATAAAACCACAAACACCACCAGAAAACCAGAAAGCACCCAATTCACAGAAGACAACTTAATGGCATAAACATGAAAAGAACCTTTGTTTCACATGAATAATCAGAGAAACAAATTCAAATTGTTTTCATATTGTCTATATAGTCTGTTTTCATATTGTCTATATCGACTCTGTCGATATTTAATATTTCATTAATATTTAATTCATTTTAAAGAATAGAACCTAGAATTTACCCTTTAGATATTATTTTTTTGTAATTTTCTTATAACTGTTTTTGTTTGTTTGCTGGAAGGATAAATGTCTTTTTTTAAATGGCCTCTGGGTTTACTGTTATTAGCAAGCTTTTCTCACTTCAAGATTATCTTTGAAATGGTCCATATTTTCTTTTCATAATTTTACAGCATCATTTCTTTAATGTTTTAATCTTTTATCCAATGAGAATTTATTCTGAAGGAAAGAGTAACAGTGACATCCATCTTTATTTTTAACCAAATGGTTAGCCAGTCTTGTCAACATTAGTTATTTAATATCTCATCATCTCAATTATTTGAAATGCCACCCTCACAGTCTGTTTCTGAATTCTATTCTGTTCCAATGATCTATCCATCTCTGTGCCAATACCAAAGAGTTTTATTTTACATTTTTATATTTGCAATGTTAGATTTTATTACTTTTCATTTTGGGGATTCTGTTACTCTTATACTTAGCATATTTTTAAGGACCCATCTTTTTTGGTAACTCATCAATGGCCATTTACTACCAGTACTACTACTTCTTAAGTAAGTTATGAATATTTGTGGATAAGGTACAGAATAAGCCTTCCATTTCACTCAATACAGGAATTTAGAAATTGCATCGTCTTGTACGTAGACCAGCACTGCATGCACATTTCTCCACTAGATGGCAGGACAGGAATGGAGCGACATCTGGGCTCAACCTGCTTACATGCCCAATCCCGGACTACTTCTATGGGTATAGGGGAAAAACTGACATCTTCAAATTGAAAAGAAAATGATCACAATAAGGGACCAAATACTGAACCAGAAATCAGCAACACTCATAGGCACTCCCCTCACTATATCAGAATGAATAATTCCATTCCTATGCAACTTAAGTAACAGATATCTATAAAGTAATTTTGTTTATAGCTATAAAGTAATTTTCTATGTCTTTTGAAAAGACAACCTTACAATAAAAATAATCATTTTATCTTCTTGTAGGATTAAGTCATCTGTTTGAAGTCTTTTATGGGAAAAGGTAGCATAATAAGGAAATATGGATAATATACATTCTATTTCCTATAATCAGATGCTATATGTTAAGTATTTGCATTTATTTTAATGATCGTGATCCGGATAGACACTGATTTGTTTCTAGTATTGCCAGATTTCTTATCCTAGAGTAATTATATACCAAATGCCTTGACTGGACCACAGGAAGAATGTAGTGAGGGGCTTGTTGTCCTCCCATGTCCCTCCATGTGGTACTGTCCAGCTTAAGCCGGTAAAGCAGCCTGGCTCTGTGAGGCTGGAGATGGGGCAGAACAGAAGCTAAGCAATGTACCAGAGTCAGACTCGGGGAGCAACTACTCCCAAAGTATAAAATTTTCATTATTTTCAGGTAATGTTTTGATATTAGGGATGTCAAACAATGGAAGATGGTGAAAAAATATTCAAAGAAGTGGAAAGCAAGATCTTGAAACTTTTAAAGAAGACACTCATTGGGTAATGCCTTCTTAAAAATATACTCATCCCCCTATCCGAAAATAAACAATTTTTTTTTATTCATTGTGGCCAATGTAAAACACATCCCAATGCAAGAAAATTGTAAGTAGCTTCTTAAAAAATGAGCTTCAGAAACAGTGCAAGTATAATTAAAAGTTGAACGGTGCAAGCCCACCTCCATCCTTGCTATCCTGGATTCTGAGGACATCAGAGTCTTTTAGACCTCTAGAGAGGATAACAGGTCTGAGGTGTGGGGACACACTAGGCTGTCATGTTTGCACTCCAGATCTCTCCTGATACCAGCCTGCAACCCAAACCCACTCTTTTCTCTCCTCCAAGAATGGGAGCCTTGAGAAGGGGCCAGCACAGTAGAGAAACCTATAACACTGCATCCTTTGTTGGCCCCATCCATTCTGAGGAAAAGAATGCCTGGACTGTGAGAGAATCCTACACAGAGATGATAATGGGAGATGAGGGGGGTGGGTGTTGGAGTTCCTTTTCTTATTCCCAACACCAACATCAATAGGCCTCTTTTCCCATTTAATATTTCTGATACAAAGAATGCTCTGCTTTGGTCAGGTGGGTTGCAAAGAATTTCATTCTGCAAAATTTAGTAGGTAAAATGATAGTGAACATTTTGATAGCAAATGCTCTTAAAAAAATCTTGGGATATCAAATGTGATCTCTGACTACTGCTAATATAGTTAACCAAGACTTATTAAACAACAACAACAAACAACACTGAAAATATAAAGGTCACCATTCAAAATAAAAATGCACCAATCATTGTTTTCACTGATTTGTTTGGCAAGAGGCTTGCTTCAAACCCCAATTCCACAATTTGCTGTATGATCTTAATGATGCCACCTATTCTCTCTGAGGCCCAGCTTCCTCATCTCTAAAAACACTTACGATACTTTACAAGCACACTGCAGAGATTAAATGAGATTAAATATATAAAAGTGCTTTGTCAACTAAAAATTATGCTGTTCTCTTCCCTGGCCATGATATCTGATAAGTAATACACAGATTATGGACTGAAATGATATCCACATTGAGAAAAGGAAAAAAAAAAAGGTCATTCTGCACCAAGATATTTTCTCTCAGTTGTATTTGTTCACTATGTTTTGGACTTTTCAGAATAAAGTTGTTTAAAATACATAAATGAAAAGTAGTACCAAAAATGTTCACATGCAGCATCAAATCTAGTTTTCAGTTTTTCAGAAAACTCAAATGATTTCCCAGATCATCTAGAAGGGTATAAACTACAATTACGCTACAGAAGCAATAGAGAGATCAATGTCAAGGCAATGGTTCTATTTTTAAAATCTCAAAAGATGCCTTCAACACAGTGAAAGTTCAGGAGAATGAAATAAGCACCCAGAAGGGTGTATTCATTTCCACTGAGATTCTGCAGTATCGGTTTTTCTTCATTGTGAGCTTGATTAATTTTGCCAGTACAGTTACAATTAAAATAAGTAAGCAAAATTTGAAACCCTGATTTGACTTTGAAAAGTTAAATTTTCAAGGTTCTTAAGACCTTCAAGGAACTGAACACAAGCAGCAGGGACATCCCGAGGATATGATGATGGCAAGGTACTGAGGAGATATGGAAAGTAACCACGAGATAGAAAAAAAGGACAAAAATAATAAACGGAGGTGAAACTCTCACCAGAAAAAAAAAATCACTACGGAAATGATATCTAAATCTTTCTTACGTTACAAAAGAAATTTGATTAATGGACTTGGAAACCCACCTAATTTCTGGGTCACTATTTGATAAATGATTATTTGATAGCCATGACCAGCTGCTATGTACCATATCTGACACTTGGGACATATCAAAGAATAAATAAACAAAATGTTCTGTCTTCAGAGAGTTTATATTTTTTAATGAGGCCGTACCTACAGTAAGTAGATATGGGGAAATGAAGAGCAGATAAAGTATTGAAACCTGGCCTCAGATTCATCAGGTACCAATATTTTATCTACTCTTCACTCCCCCAAATACAGCCTGCCTTGGGTGCCTGAAACTTCCCCCTCAGGTCACAGTTATTTACCAAGATCACAACAAAGTATCTCCTCTATTGTTCTCCCCTGTGAGACCTGTTCTTTCAACAGGGCACCTACCACACTTCTTGTAGCATGTGAGTTTATTCACAAGACTTTTCTTCTCCTAGGTGTAAGATGCAGTAGGTGCTCAATACTTATTTCTTTTAATAAATCAAGAAAGCTAATAGTAATCTAAGTCTTTGAAAGGATAAACAGCAAGTACACTGCTTTATTTTGCCATTCAGTTAACAGGATAAATAACACTGTCGTTTCCCTAGAACTTTAAACAAATTATTGAGCACTTTAAAGAAATGTCTCCTTTCAAAAATCAAGCTTAGCTACTAAATTATGTGACCTACATAAACAAAAGAAAGGCAGTCTTGCTAGCTAATCTGTCTGCCTCCTTTCTTTCCAGAAAAAAAAACAAAAACAAAAAGAAAACACTCAATTTTTTTCATGATAATCAGTATTATGCCATAAAGACACAGAGACTGATGAGAAATATTTACATAGCTTCCAATTCTGACTACCAAGTAAAATTAGTAATGTGACAGCAAAGAAGTCTTGTAAGTAACACCTTAATCAAACGATTAAAGTGGACATCATCAATAATGAAGCAAGTCAAAATCACGTACCACCTAATCAGATGCAACATGCAGAATATAGCATCCCTTCTGTGATATTCCTGTAAGGATGCAAAACCTGAATCCAATTATGAGGAACAAATGATAAACCCAAATTGAGGGACATTCTATACAACAGGCCGATATCCTTCAACAACATCAAAACAATGAGAATCTAAGAAACACTGAGTAAGTGTTCAAGAAGGAGCCTAAAGACATAGCAAATAAAGGCCACTGATAATTCTGAACTGGATCCTTTCCTTATTAAGGACATTATTAGTGGCTCTCACAAAACTTCATTGAGGTGTAAAACTTAGATGGTAGTAATATATCATTGTTAATTTCCTTATTTTTATGGTTTGTATTGTGATTATGCAGAAAAATGCCCTCATGTGCACAAAATATATATCAATGTTTTGGAGGGTGACAGGGTATCATATAGAAATCTTATTGTCAGATGGTTCTGGTAAAAAAAATAACTTTGAACTGAGTTTGCAAATTTCCTGCAGACTTAATATTGTTTTAAAAATAATGTAGTTGGGGATTGTTATATTACAAAAGAAAAATTAAATAAAAAAAGACAGCTTTCAATTTAACAATTCCACATGAGAAACATGGTTTACTATCAACAAGCATTACCACCAAGTAACAAACACCACCACCTAGAATAAGCCCCTGTAACCAATAATCTTTGTTTCAAAACAACTTATGTGGACTTCTTTTTGTCTCTAAAAGCTTCCCCTTACTCCAAACCCCTCACAGATGCATCCATGGTCTGCAATGGCATGCATATCCAGCATTGCAGACCCTTGCTATTCCCAAATAAACTGTTTTAGAGAAAAAACACACAAAACAAACAAAAACAAATATCCCAGGATTCTGGATGATGCAAACTAAATAAATAAAAGTTTATTGTGGAAAAATCTAGATAATCGATTTTTATTTTTAAATTTAAACTTCCCTCCATCAATTTCAGCATCTAAATAACATAATAAGCTGCAAATTACTTTACAAAAAAAAAAACAAAAAACAAAAAACTAGGTACCGGGAATTGGTAAGTGGTCTATTTTGTAAAAACAATGTAGGGAAATATAAGTTATCAGTCATACTTGAAAATTATAAAGCCATTGCAAAAGACATAGGAATTATATTGTGTGGCAGACTGTATGTTCCCATAAACAGCTAAATTAGTATTTCCAGTCCCACATGTGTTTTCAGAAAGTCCCCATCAAGAGGTGCTACGTCCACACTGTATAAACTTGGGCAGGTAAGCTTTGGCTGACTCGTGACTTCTCTGGTCAACTGATTACAGAAGAAGTAATCCTATGTGAGTTCTAAGGTTAGATAACAAAAGATACACTTGACACCTACTTCTCTCTCTCTTGCAAAATGCACCCTTCTTTTCCAAACACTATGCCATATCAGTAAAGAAGGCAACATGAAGACAAGGGAAGGTGTTGTAGCTACTAGCTCAACTAAAGTCTCAGCCAACAGCTAATTTTAACTGTCAAACATGAGACTGAACAAGCCTGAGGATGATTCCAGCCTCTAGCTCTCAAGTGTTCTAGCTGATTCCCCAGACAGTATAGAGCACAGAAAAGTTGTTCCTGCTATTCTGTCTGAATTCCTCAACTATAGGTATAATAGGTGGTTGCTTAAACGTTACTAGGGTAGATTTTGCAGCTCTAGGGGCTGAAATGTCTCTAATGCATCTTCATTTGGTTTCTTTCTCAAGAGTCATAAATGGAATCTGAAAAACAGCACTAAGAGATCCACATGAGGTCCCTAACATTTTTTTTTTCTCATAAAGATCAGGGAGAATAGAACATAACCAACAGTCACTGAATACCTACTTTGTGACTTTAAACACATTAAGTTATCTCTTCTAAGAAAATACGAGAGTGGATAAAGTTGAGGCCAATAATACCAAATAACCTACTTCTAATCCATTAACCTATGGTCTTCATTAATACTCCAGCAAAGAAAATGTAATACTTACTACATTTCCAAATTAATTTCCAAAATAATTCTGGTAGCTATATTCCCTTTTGAAGTCCACTGATATTACCAACAAAGACAGAGCGCAGTGCAGATCTTGTTTAACCTGCATGCATATTCATTTCATCAATAATTCAATATCAGTTAACAAACTTTTGCTGGTCACCTTCTATGTGCCAGGCACCAGGTGTCAGGAATATAAGAGAGCAAGATATGGTTTCCTCCTCAGAAGTTCATAGTCCATTTCAGATTCATGAGCTTCATTAACAGCACATTAATACTGCCTCTGCCCTACTTCCTCCCTGAAGACTGGGGAAATAAAGAGCCTAAAAATAAATAATAAATTTTCCAAAAATGCACTTATATTAAATCTCTGTAAATTGTAGCCCAGTTTTCTCTTGATTTCAGAGTTGAATTTCTAAAGGAACAGTTTAGTGACAGGCAATTAAAGGTTGCACACCAACATTTCCAAACCAATTAGAAATACATTTATAATCAGTTAAATTATATGTCAAAAATTCATTGGCAACTAAAGAATCCCTTCTTAAAGAAAATTTCTCTTTTTCTAATGTAATACTGATATTTAGCATTTCTAGATTATACATCTATATAGAGAAAGACAGTAAGTGCAGGACTTGGCTAAAACAGGTCAAATTCACATAATTTCCAGGGTAAATCACTCAAATAGATCCTTCCAGGTCAATGACAATATCAAAGTATACTTGAGTCAGCTTCTCTTAAATGCCTAGTGTAGTATGTATAAAGCTAGGCAAAGGCCACAATATGCAATAAGGTCATATTCTACGACTATAACGTCATGGATATTTTCATTAGCTCTAGTGTTTCTATCTTATGAGCATGAATAGCATATATGTTCAAGGGAAGAGAAGTCTTTAACTTTTATGGGGTAAGTGATTATATAGACTAGAAAACTAGGAACTTGATCACCCTTTCTCCTTCATCTCACTCCCCACTTTTCATAATCTATTTCTACAACTATTCAGGAAGTAAACTCGTTTGCAACAAAGTCAACGATCCAGAACGGTATGGGCAATGGTACATTAATCCTGGGATGAGTGGCTTGGTCATCTCAAGGAAAGATTTTGTACCTTGGGCAGAAACATGTAGAGCCATGATACAGTGCCTTCTAGACTGTGTACTCTTCCATGTACTACCTTACATAAAAACAATTTAAAAATATATCTTATTCTTTTCCTGCATAAACAATGAGATCAGAATAAGATAAAAATCCTAACTGGACCCAGCAAAGACTCCAACGTTAGAATAAACATCAGTTATCAAACATAGCTATTTGGGGTTGCTATGACCCTCAGCCTCCCCTAAAGGAACTGACCTGCCAAGAGCACTCTTTCATCTCATTATATTCTATACAGCCAATTCTGTGGAACTAAAATTTGGATTTATGTGCTCTTCTAATCCTTCAATACCATGACTTTTTTCCATTAATACAATTTATCACTATGCTCACAGAGAAGTCTGTAATAGAGGTATGTCTTTGAATAAGCAGCCCAAAATGTACTTTCTCACCAATTTCTTTTTATCTTAACTCCTAGACCCATCATAAAAGTGCACTTCCCAATGCCAACCAGTTTATTTTAAAAGACCTATTAAAATACTCTCCACTCAATGCCAATGCTCAAGTTCTCTACACTAGTTACTTAAAAAAAAAAAAAATACCCATGAGAAAAATCTTGAAATTTTCATTGGTCCAACTACCAGCTGACATCCAAGGTCCTTCTGTTTCTTACTTCCTCCTTTGATCAACACTACATGGTTCTACATTCCCTTAGCTTATCCCATCCCTGACCACTCTGGTGACTTTACTCTCTCTGATTTCCTTTGTTAGAAGTACTTCCATCTATTGAAATTCAACAGGTCCTTCAAGCTCAGCTCAAATGCTAACTTCAACAGATCCTTCCAGGTCAGTTGAAATGTCACTTACTATATCAATTCATGTCTAATTATGCCAAATTTAAGAATTTATCTTCTTTGAGAGTACTTTATAGCTTCTTTGGTTCTGTTCATATTTGAACGTGTGATAAAATTATTTGTATACATATGTCATTTTTTTTTTGCAGACTATAAATTCCTTTAATTTCAAGGCATCCCAAATAGTGTATTCCCCATAATTTGTGTACACTCAATAGTCATCTGATAGCTTATAATTTTCATTGTTTGCTAAATCAAATCCATAAAAAATCCATCAACTCATAAGAGTTTATTCCAATAACTCATTTGTAAATCTTTTCAGAAATCTATGCACATTTTCCCAAAATGTTATTGTTATACATGATAATTTAGGATAAAGTTACACTTCAGTATTTCAGGTATATTTTGGATTAATGATTACTTCAAAAGACTTCTGGAAGATAACTTAAGGTCCTGGGTACCACAAATTAATATTCTCTACTTCTAATCCTGGGTGTCAGAGAATGACAGATTCTCTGCATATGCTTAACAGTGAGCATGTTAAAGAGCTTATGAATCTAAGATATGTTTGTAACAGAGAGGGCAGGAGGAAAACCCTTATCAGTGTATTTCAGCAAGAAGGCAGAAGTGGTGTATATATGGAAAACTAGTTTGTTCTTGCTTTTAATCTTGAAATTGCCTTAAATTTCACATAAAATTAAAATGACATGTGAGACTTCTACATTTATAAAAGAGAAACATGTATAAAGAAAAAAGCTTAAGTAATGCTTACTAGAAAAGAACACTTGAAGTATTCCCAATTGTGGAAAAATGGAAAGAGCCAATCGTAACTTGTCAAGTCTTTTCAAGTCAAACTGCATATTTTCTTGGTGTACTTTATTTTACTATGTAACTTCACAGGAAAATTGGTAAGAGACACTACTCAATAGAATGAAAATTGAAAAAAATGAGGAAGTAATTTTTCCCCGCTAAGTTAACAGCTACAAGGAAAAACTATGCTGGCAAAGGTCTCAAATATCTTGTCAAGTTCTAAAAACCTGAGTCTAAGATTAGGCAATTGGAGAACACAAGTACAGAAGGAATGTTAAGTAAAGTAGAGATAAGATCTTTCCAGGATCAATCAAGTAAGGAGTTTCTGAAAAGGTGAGTTTCAGGTAGGAAAGTCTATATCAGAGACAGGAAATGGCAGGATGAAAAAGGATGTTTTGGGCAACGGAAATGACATGTTCTATGAAAAAAAAAAGGTGTTGCAGGATAGAAAAAAACTTGCATATCTGCAGAATCAAAACCTTTGTATGAAAAAGCAAGAAAGAAATATATCAGTGAAAGAGTAGGCGCAAAAGTTTTGTTTTTGTTTTGTTTTGTTGTTGTTGTTTTTAAACAAAGCCCTGAATTTATGAGTTCTTCTGGATTCCTGTAACCTGAAGACTGATTGTGACAAACTGAATATGCCACAAAATAGATTAAAAACCAATGACCAAAAGTCAGAAACATCCCCAGGAAAACAATTCTTTCTAAGGAATGGGAAATCGTAGTCATGATATTGGACTAAGTATCTCATAAAATATAAGAATACATATATTATACTTTAAATAAAAATTGACAAATCAACTTTAATATATTTGTTAGTTGCAGTAATAGACTGCTTCAAAAGATATGAGGCTTTAAAAAATAGCTCACACCCACTTATGGCTAGTGTTCCATTATTGGAATGCTATGCATGTGGGAGTTATTTATATCCTACTGCTCAAGTCATCACCAAGTTCTGATTTTCCAATCATGCAAAAATTCAAAAAATTGCAACCTCCGGCATAAATGGGTTAAATAGATACAAATGTGGAAAAATTCTTTAATAAGTGCTATTTGCAAAAGGTTCCAGGAAGATAACATGCAGATAAGATGCTTGGAAAAGGTCTCCAAGGCAAGCCAATTGCCAGGCATTCTGAAATAATGCAACTCCAAAGGCAACAAATGTGACTACACAGCTGGAGTCACCCCAAAAGATTTAGCACCTGAAGAGAGGAGAATCAATGATCCTAATACACTTCAAGTCCTCAGGGCAATTGCAGAATCGCCATGTGAGCTCAGGGTGGGTAAAATCTCTGCATACCAATGAAAGTGGTTAAAAAACCCACTGATCCAAAACATTGCTGCTTTTAATTAGCAGCTCACATATAATTTTATATCAGTGTTTATTGAATTTAAATAATCACATAAAAATCAGTACTTCTCAAAGTGAAAAAACACAAAAGTGTACCAAGGAGTTAATACTATAAAAGACATAAGATGAAATTTTAATTTTAATTCATAAAGTTTAAGGGTTTTTTTTTAAAATAAGAAAACAAACATAGGTAGATCATTGTGGAAGACACTTCCTCCACTTCCTTAGTAACAACTTCCAACTTTTAGCCGGGCATACTGCAGCCCAGCTAAAGACTACATTTTCTAGTCTTAGCTGAACGTAAGTGTGGACACATAGCTAGCCAATGTTCTGGTCAATGAGATGTAACAAAAATGCACCATTTGATGGCCAGAATGCAGCAGCCAAGCAGCCATCTTGACCGTGGGGTTGAGGGTTGCACAGGAGGATGGTAGAGCAGAGTGTTGAAGCAGCTTGGGTCCCTACTGATTCTCAGCATTGTCATACCACCCTGGACTGCTTATCTCAGAACTTCCTTTATGTGACACAAAAATAAACTTCCACTGTGTATAGCTACTTAATTTTTTTCAATTATGTGTGTTAAAACATAATCTTAATTGACGCAACCACAAAGAAGAATACAAAACAGGAGACTTCAAATAAATCAATAAATGTTCACGCTTCTGATTGACTGTAAATATGGCTAGGCCAGTATCACTCAAATAGGCAAACTGATTCCTCTGTGGTGTGCAGGTTTGAGAAGGACTGCAATGTAAATTATTAGTATAATACTAATCTCTGTGTCATTTGAGTTGCTTTAAAACTAGAATACTCTACCCACACTACATTGGCAACCTCTAGTACCCTAGGGATCAGAAATTACATATCCAATATGCTATCCAATATTATCCCCAGCATCGTTAATTTTAAAGAAAAGCTAAAATCATATTGCGTTAGTAATTTATTTTCCAGCTGAAGAAACTGAAGAAAGATATTAACTGCTAGGAGGTAATCAGAAGCAGAGTTAGAATTAAGCTCCAGTTCTATGTTCTAGTCCAGTGCCCTCCATCCTAAAATATTAGCATGGCCTTATTATACTCTGTGAAATAATCTAGGCTATTTAAAGTTCCTCAGAAGGATAAAGTTAATAAATTGAAGCAATTCATATGTTTTTACAAATTTGCTCAATGGTAAGAAATTACTTTATATTATATTCCCCAAAGTTACATTTCTTTTTCTTCCCTTATGCCATATATTTGAAGGGACAAACAATGATATACATAAAGAAATCTTAACCAATTTCGCAACTGGTAAACACTTTGTAGTTGCTGGTCATTCTTTTCTTTCCTTTAAAAGAATTTGTTTTATTGCATAGGCATTAATCTACCCTAAGCTCTGCAACTGAAGTTTTAAAAACATGTCAACAGCTTGTTCCTCATAAATATATTCTTATTTAATTATAATCCATGACAAAATTGAAATAAATTATATATACCTGAAGTCTCATTTTTGTGCCATAATGGCAAGATTTAAAAAATAATGCCTTTCCCAAAACTATTACAATACAGCCTAAATACCATTCATTAAGTATCCTGAATCCGATTTGACTAAAAAAAAAAAAAAAAAAAAACCAGATTTTCTGTGTGTCTGAGATCACATATTAATGATACTACTGAACATACATGCTCATGCTCACAGCATTTACAACCCCTCCTTCCTCACCACAGGCAAGAAGTGCATACTGCTCATTTCTCATATGCTTTTGAGTATTAATAAAGCACATAAATGTTATCACATACTGATCTGCTCTGAGTAAGCTGAAATATGTTGGAATGGCATTCTATCCTATACAATGAAGAGAAATAAAGGGAATCAAAACAAGGAATCTTTTATTATATATGAAAAGTCAACTAGGCAAAGGACCTCAGAAGGCAGGCTGAATTAAGTGGATTTTAGAGTCTTCAGGAAATAAGAAAATCTCTCTGGCAAACAGTGCACCGAACTGACATCCACTAAACATAAAAATAAGCAAGAACATGACATTGTCCATGAATTGGAATATCTATCTATGTTCACAAAATTTCTTCCACAGTTATGTCAATTAACCGTCAAGAACAAGGACAAAGCAATAAGAGGATATAAGGGACAGAGGCAAGGTGATGCCTAAGAGCCAGCAGCCTGAGTTCAAATTCTGTCTTCTGCCCCTCACTGGCTGTGTAATCTTTGCAAATTCCAGTACCCTAGAGTCACTTAGCCTCCTTGGACCTCATGCTCCTAATCTGAAAATGGAGATACAAGCAGTCCTTACCTTCTAGGGATATTATGAGGCTTGAAAGAGCTAATTCTGGTGGCTCATGCCTGTAATCCCAACACTTTGGGAGACTGAGGTGGACTGATCATTTGAGATCAAGAGTTCGAGACCAGTCTGGCCAATGTGGTGAAACCCCGCCTCTACTAAAAATACAAAAAAATTAGCTGGGCATGGTGGCAGCTGAGTAGTCCCAGCTACTCAGGAGGCTGAGGCAGGAGAATCGTTTGAACCTGGGAGACTGAGGCTGCAGTGAGCTGAGATAGCGCCACTGCACTCCAGCCTGGGTGACAGAGTGAGACACACACACACACACACACACACACACACACACACAAAAGAGCTAATTCATGTAAATTGTTTAGAATGGTAACTGGTATATAAAAGCATTCAACGAGCATTGGTTGTTATTATTTAACTGTCATTGTAAGTAATGACATAAAAGAAAATCACAAATTATTACTATAGATCCTCAGGAAGGAAGCAGTTGACATCTTTTATAACATCTCAGGCAATACTACTGGAGACTACTTACAAATTAAAGTTATAATTGATATATTTTATAAAATCTCTACAGGTGTCAATATGACTTTCTAAAAAGAATAAATTATTTACCACTGAAATTGTCAATCTGTTTCTAGTTGTGTATACTTCTACAAACAGAATCAAACTGCTTTAGAATGAAGAGTTCAGACTAAATCCGAGTGACGGAAACATGCTTCTTTCCCTAGATCAATAGTCATGTTTCTGAATTCCAAAAGATTTAGCTCTGTCTCAATCTCTGAAACTTCACAAAAGCCTGTCCCCAGTGATTGTGGAAGTGCATTTCTGCAGGACTATGACTCCAACATGAACGTGGCAGTGGCCTCAACAATTTGACCAAATTGAAACAAAAAATATTGTCATTTCTAGGCATATCAAAAAACACTACATCATAATCATGAATTATTAGCATCACATAGCATGGAAATCTATTTCAAGAGACTTGCCAATTTGCTTTCTCATCTCTGGTTTTGTGAGAGAATTAGAACTAATGCCCTATCCAAGGTGTCCATTGTGTACAATGAATTAACTTCTCTTGAATGCATCTGGAAATGGTACTATCTGTGTGTCTTTCTGCAGGGCTTAATTCTCCTGTGAAACCCCAGTAGTGAAATGCTACTTTTGGAAAATAATTTTTTTCATTAAAACAGAAATTATGCCCATGATACTCTTGATGATTATTATCATAATGATGACAACTTCACTGTTTATCACATTGTTTCTATGACATTAAGGCTGAAGTGTTTTATTATGCATATATATATAGATATAGATATAGATATATGTATGTATATACAGATATATATATATAATGTTCATCTGATATACCTTAAATTAGCAGCTTTTTTCACATTGAATTTCAAACAAATAGTTTATGTTGCTCTTTTGTTCAAATAAAGATATCTGATTCGGGGTTCTTTTAATTGGCAATGAAAACAAACTAGAATTTTTTCCCTGAAAGGCACTTTTATTTTGTCACTAATCAATCCTGTGGAAGTTCTTCTTTAAGTATCATATCAGACATAAATCTTGCAAAACAGTATATCTAAGTATATCTCCTGAGCTAATTCACTTTGAAAGATCAATAAATAGATACTCTGCAATACTTCTTATTACATATACTACATAATATGGAAAAAGATATTCCGTCTCTGTGCAGTTATCTATTTAATTGCTTACATCTGACTTCCTGCTTAAAAATGTACATTATTGTTTCATTCTCTCTTCTGTCCCTTCAACCTAGACAAGCTCTATCTCACAGTATGCACTCAGTAAACATTTGCTAAATCAACAGAGTCCTGAAATGTGTAAAATCTACCTATTTCACTAATCTATCCCTATACAACTCAGATAAATAGAAGCCATACATGTGTATCATATCAAGGCACAAATCTAACAAATCTACCTTTGTGAAATTGTCTTTTCCCAGATGACATGTCAACTTAAGGTCATTGGTATATATTCGATGACTACTTCTTTAGTATAAGCAGGTTTTTCTATGATGACCATAAGAGAATTTTCCTTCTTGTCTCTATTTCTCTTTTCATCTTGTATAAAATATTAGAAATGTTAGTACACAGTTACCATTTGTGGTATTTTTCTAACAATGTGATATAGAAGCACAAAAAAATATTATGTGTAATATGGCGTGATGAAAAAAAATTAACTCTATAGTGTCCAAAAACAGTGGTTAGAAATACAGGCATTCAAAAAGACCTGAGCTTGATATCTCGCTATGCGACTTGAATGATATTACTCATCTTCTCTTACCTGATAAGGAAAATGGGGTTGTCAATACTTCTTACACCTCATAGGATATCATGAGGATAAAATGAAATAGTACATGTAAAGAACTCAACACTACACTTCTTCATGGTAAGCACTCACCAACCAATCACCACTGGGATTGTTTTAAAGAGAACTTGGTAGTGAAACTCTTGATGCTTATCCTCATTCACGTTCCCATGGCTTGCTAACAACTTTTAACCAATATTTGGATTTGTTAATTTTTTTGCTCATTGAATGTTCTTCAACATAAACACAGCCTGAATTCCCCCTCAAAGTTTCCTTATATTTTCCAAACCTTGAAGATGGTTAGGAAGTCTGTCTGTGAACTGCATGTGTAGAGTGTTATAATTAATTATAGTAGAAGAATATAGCAGAATTAATTATAGTAGAAGAAGCTGAAAGTAGCTTTAAGGAGCTAATAACCAGATTAGGAATATTAAGACATAAAGATTTGAATGTATAACTACATGTGAAAGTAGTGCCTAAGAATGATAACTTAAGAGGCAAGTGGGCCACTTTCAGCTGTAGAGGGACCATGCAGAGATGTATGTTGACAACTCCATGCTCAACACACCCTGCAGATATGAGGCACTCAATAAGCATTAACTGAAAGAGAGGAAGGATAGGTGTGATTTTAATAGGCATAAAGCAAGGGATAGAACATTTTAGGCAGCAAAAGGCTTGAAAGGCATAGATCACAAATTATAAATTGTATCAATTCATCCATTCAGTTTATGATTATGAAAGGACTATAATATACCAGCCTCAGGGAGACAATGAGTGCCTACCTCAAGAGGTCCAAATGAGGGGCCAAGAACTCATCACAGTCCAAGCAGGGAAAGGTGAGTAAAAGAATCATTGCATTTCAATGTGATATGCTAAAATAGGTTATGGGATTCAGATAAAAACATCAAAGGGTCCAGGAAGCCTTCCAAATGAAGTGATGTTAAAAATGGGAAACAGATCAGTTTACCTGAAGTGAATAACTGTGAGGCATAAAATGAGAAGGATACCAATGAACAGGTAGGTCTGACTGCCAGCATCAGATATTCCTAATCTGGTTATTAGCTCCTTAAACCTACTTTCAGCTTCTTCTGCTATAATTAATTATAGCACTCTACACATGCAATTCACAGACAGACTTCCTAACCATCTTCAAGGTTTGAAAAATATAAGGAAACTTTGAGAGGGAATTCAGGCTGTGTTTATCATCATTTACACATGGGGCCCCAAAAGAACTATTTCTCAAGAGAGAAATGGCATAACAAGTGCTGTGTTATTTGCAGATTATTCAGTCACTGTTTTCAGTGTAGATTAGATTCAGAGAAGAAAGGCACCATGGCTGAAGGGTAAAGCCTGGAAAACAGGGTAGTAGGCGCTGCAATTGTTCACACGCGAGGTCACAGCAATTTGCAGAAAATGGGAGTAGAAATAAAATGGAACAGAAAAATATAGATGACATTTCTAAGGAGGAACCACCAGTATTTCTTGAAACCAGAAAGAAAGAAGCATTGAGAGTTTGAGAAATGTGTATTTCATGTTTGATGTGTTGTGGCTTTTAAGGGATCCAAATAGCATATTAAAAAAAAAAATGCCTATGTTAGCCAAAGTGATTCCCTTTCTCTAACTCTTATGTAATATGCTTAGTGTCTTAGTTTTTCCACCACCTGAGAAACTGATGTAAAAACTACAAATGCATTTATTTGTCCAACAGATTCACTGAGTACCTACTGTGCATAATGCCAAATACATACTGTGCTCAGCACTATCAGAAGGAAATACAGTTGGAGTGATTTATCTTTTGTTTGTGAAATACTATCTAAAACAATGCCCTGAAGCTATTTAAAGGTTAACTAGTATTAGCTTCACTCAGAAAAATGTGATAATATAACATTTTTTCTAATCCCCATAAGTTTCTCTTTATCAGTACCAAATGGAAAAGCACAAAACAAGAACAACTTCTTCTGGTTACTATATGGCTCGGTGCTATTTTTTTAAAGGACAGTCCTGCCTAATTATTAGTCCCAACTGTAATTCAAGTGGCTTATTTAGGTGCACTATCATTCTCCAAACCTGTGTAACTATTAAAATTTAAACTTCTGTTTATAGTATTTCTTTCTGTTCTCCTGAATATGACTGCCTAATTACCCAGAAGCCACTGCCATTGACCCGCATCCAGACATTGTTTTTATAACTTAATACAAACAAAAAAGTCAGAGAGTATGTGACTGTGCATCTTAAGTCCTGGGCACTACTGTTTCATAGTTTTTACCTTGGACCTTCACCTACAATTATACAAACTAAAACAACATTAAAATAATAAGAACCAAAAAAGCCTTTGTTCTTCTTTCAAATATCTAAAAAAGCTATGTCCCATTGTGGACAAAAATAATCCTTTAAAGGAGTAGTTGTTTCTAATTTTGTTCTGATTGAGGTATGATACTAATCAGAGATCACATAGTTGATCTCAGAGACCCACAGATAATAATTCACAAAATAAAAATACCATATTCTGCATTAAAAAGAATTTTTCTAAAATATTGTCATTAAACAATTCCACCCTATTTATTTTCTATCACTTTCCCCTTAAGGGCCTTTAAAACAACAATTTTTTTGAAATACATTTTTCTCATACACCAAAAGAAAGCCAAATGACAAGCGAACAAATCCTATTGCTTACAAACTAAAACAGCTACAAGAAAGATGAAATAAATAAAATGAGCTTTTATTTACTGCAGTGATGAGGGCTAGTTTATTCAGCTGTCCATGCTGGGTGATTCAATATACAGCTGCTCATTCAAGTGAAAATATAGGAGGATTCAGGAAGCAAAATAGTCACAGCCTGAGAAGTTAGCTGGTAAAAAATATCAGGTTTAGCTGAGCAGTCTCATATTGGAAGAACACATCAATAAAACTCTACCCCCAAAAATTGTAATCATATGTTAATCTTGCTACAAGCTAAGTAATACCTACTGCTCATTGAGGGCCTAATATGTGCTGAGCATGGCAGAAAATGGTGCTTTCTCACTTTATTATCCCATTTAAACTGCAAAACAACACTATAAAATAGATCGTTTCCCTTAAAAATGAGAACAGAAGACTCAGAAAGTCCCACTATCTCAAAGATATAAATCGCTAAAAAAAAAAAGTCAACAAAGGTTAATATACGTTGAAAAAGCTCATCATCTTTCAGCTACACGTTGCTGCATCTGACCTTACAATTCTATTACATACATAAGGGTCCTGTTAACAATTTTAACAAGAGGAGGCTGTTAAGCATCTAGGTAGCACTAATTCCCATCTCAACTACTTTACAAGGATAATAAGCCCCCTTTCCTCTTTTTATTGATATTTATTTATATCCCTTTAATGTAAATTTCCAACTTATAAACTATTGCATGTCATCTTGTAACATCTCAAATTCACTTTTGAAACTATCAGTCACGTTGATTTTATTTTCAGTACACAGCTATATCGAAAAATATAATGTCTACCAACTTTTCCTTTTTCTGTCAAAGTGTAAAAGAAAATGAGAAGATTAATTCAGGCAATAAAGAAATTTTGATCTTATAATTTATTCAAGTTTGTTTCTGTTTCAGGTTCCAAAAATCTAATAAATTTTTTTTCTGTTCCATTCTCCTCTCTCGTTTTTCTCCAGTTTACTACAGTGGTTTACTACATGGGTTACTACAGTCACTTTACTACAATGGTTAATCTCTCGCTTTATGAATCAATAAATATCATCAATAGATTAGAGGTCTTCATATCACTGTAACCCTGGCCAGATAAACGTATATGAATAAACCTGTGTCTAGCATCCAGCATCCATTAGGGTTTACAGACGCCACAGTTTTTTAAAAAACTAACGTATTATGAAAATTTTCTAGGTCTAACATTTTAAATTATGAAATAACTCTCTCATAGCTTCCGTGAATTGGAGTCTATGATTGGGTCATCCAGGGCAGTTACCAAACTCAAATTTAATATAATCAAAATTCCAAGTATTGCTTTGATTGTGGGAATAAAAACAAAGTGAGACTGAACAAAGAGGAACAGATTTCTCCCACGGATGAAAGGGAAGGAATAAGCTCCTAATGATGCTCTTATTTTAGGGTAACCTTGTCTATGAAGATAGTAATGCCACCAATAGTAGAGCTTTTGTGGTTCTTTTAGCAGCAATTGATTATCAGTTGATAAAGATTCATTACAAATTATTAATTCAGGCTTTAGCTTTAGCTTTTCTTAAGGCTATTAATTTTAACTATTACATTTACATATTGCCTGCCAGCTTTTTTTGAACACAGCACATGCAAAAGTTTAGTAGAACTTCTCCACAGAAATACTCTATGACCGATAACAATGACTAAAATGCCACAAAGATCAGAGATTCACATAAGGTAAGACTAGCCTGTCCTTTTGGTGATATTTTCTAAGATAGATCCTGATATGGTTTGGCTGTGTCCCCACCCAAATCTCACCTTGAATTCTCATGTGTTATGAGAAGGACCCGGTGGGAGGTAATTGAATCATGGGGGCAAGTCTTTCCCGTGCTGTTCTCATGATAGTGAATAAGTCTCACAAGATCTGATGATTTTTAAAACAGGAATTTTTCTGCACAATCTCTCTCTTTGCCTGCCACCATTCATGTAAGATGTGACTTGCCCTTCTTTGCCTTCCACCATGGTGGAAGTTTCCACATTTCCCCAGCCAAATGGAACTGTGGGCTCTCCATTAAACCACTTTCCTTTGTAAACAGCCTAGTCTCAGGTATGTCTTTATCAGCAGTGTGAAAACGAACTAATACAGGTCCTTTGGTGAGATCTCCTAGCATATGTCTTTGAATTAAATAAAATCCAGCTACCTTAGGGTATATCATACATATTTTTTAACTTTAACACTTAAAAAAATCTCTTATTTTATTTTGGATGTCAGCTAGGGCCTACTTGAGTCAATACCTATAAATGTATTCCTCCTGGAAAATATAATAGAAGTAGAAACCTGAGAAACTTTTTTCTTCTAAAAAACATATTTTTGGCCGGGCGCGGTGGCTCACGCCTGTAATCCCAGCACTTTGGGAGGCCGAGGCGGGCGGATCACAAGGTCAGGAGATCGAGACCATCCTGGCTAACACGGTGAAACCCCGTCTCTACTAAAAATACAAAAAATTAGCCAGGCGTGGTGGCGGGCGCCTGTAGTCCCAGCTACTCGGGAGGCTGAGGCAGGAGAATGGCGTGAACCCGGGAGGCGGAGCTTGCAGTGAGCCGAGATCGCGCCACTGCACTCCAGCCTGGGCGACAGAGCGAGACTCCGTCTCAAAAAAAAAAAAAAACAAACAAACATATTTTTACATGAAACTATCAATCTATAAGATCTTAACAGTAAAAAGGAAAATGCACTAAATATGACACTAAACTGAAGTCAACAATTGATGTTCCCTGCACCCAATAAGGCATCCATCATCCTGATTCCAGTTCATTGCTTTCATATGATCCCCTTCTCCTCCAGGCAAGCTCTGTTTCAGGAAGACAACACTAGGCAACTAAGGAGAAGTAGGTTTACTGTGTGCCAAGTACTTAACACAATTTATTTTGTTTATTGTTTTACATTTCATGGATAAGTTGAAGTTCTGAGAAATTAAATCATTTTCCCAATGACTTAAAACTAGTAATAGTAAACCCAGGATTACAACACAGGTTTGCCTTGTGTTAAAACCTGTGCTCATTCTAGTACCAACCAACCTCCTTAGGTCATCTCAAAGATGGTTTCCAAAAGGCACCATGCTCAGTTGTTATGGAAAAGTCAAGAGACAATAAAAGAAGAAAAGGCAAAGCAAAGTAATGGGAAAGATTACAAAACACAGATTCTTCATTACAAATTAACTAAAGGCCAGTAAGGCTACCTTTCATGGCACCACTTTCTGGATACATAATCCCATTCCAACTCTTGGCTTCAACTACACCTAGGTTTAATGAGAATGTGAATGTTCTTATGTTAAACAAGAGAACCAGGGACATCAGAACACCTAGAAGATGAGGCTTGTAGTGGCAGGTTCTTCGAGTATCTGACTGGAATAGGTCCTGATACTGAATATATATTTGCTGAGAGAATTGATGAATGACTGAGTGAATGGAGTCTGATAATGAGTGTGGAAGAGAGTCAGAGACTGCTATTCTTTATTTCCATTTGGGTGTTCTTTCACAAATGGAAAGGACATTGGAATCACAGTGAGCTAGAAAACTTATAGATTGCCTGAAAGATCTTTGAGGGCTTTAAGGTTTACGGCATTTTATTTTGTATCTCCAGCATCTAATGGAGTCTCTTGCAGTTGACAGGTACTCAATAAATATTTTCCAATAAGTAATAGAATAAGCCAACGATATAGGTATGAAGGGCTGGGCATTTTCTTTTACAAGGATAAATATTCTCTACTAAGATCCCCACCATATTAGGAAAGTCTGTGAGAAATCCTCAGTGAGCTTGGAATGGAAGCTAGAAAATCTTCTGCAGTAAGAGATATGTAAAAATACCAGTCAGGCCTGAGTATAAATGGGCCACAACAGACCTACAAAACTTAGTGGAATCACAAAATGATGTAGAGAATTCATAACCCAAACAAGTAGCCAGTGGGAGGAATTAAACTTTCCAATAAAGTAGAGAACATTCAGCATAACCAAAGATCAGAATGACCTAAAATGTCAGTCATGTTAGGAGGAAGGAGCTCCTTGCTCTCTGTCACAGGAGATGAGTTTAAAAGTGACAGTGTACAGTGTCTCACACGTGGTGACCTTCAATAAAATACTATGGAAAGAAATGAAATGAGCAAGGAAAACAGATGGAGGGAGGACAGATGAATGCTCCTAAAATTTGCCTCGTCTGTTAATGAGCTTTAGTTACTGGGCTCTCCAGAGGGTCTTGATGTCAGTTACCTAGTAAACATTTTCTTAGCACAGATCCAAAAGTCAGGGATGGAAAAACTACAGTGGAACACCCTTGGAACCCTCATGTAAAAAGCTCATAATGACCCTGTTCCTTACTCCCAGGCCCTAATGTCATACTCTTCAGCACCCTATGCTTTCCTTCATAGCACTTCTAAATGTTGAATAATGGGATTCGTAGTTCAATGAGGGCAAAAATCAACTGTGTTCTGCTAAATCTTGTCTTCTCAGGAGCTAACACAGTCACTGGATTTAAATGAATACATGATTTACTATTTTTAAGTGTCATTTTCCGGTCTGATCATAATGATAAAAGGGTATTTTTTGCTGTTTTAAGTAAATAAAACAAGCACCACATGTCATTCTAAATGTATATCATATATGTATTCTATGGTAAAGTTAATTTCAAAAAAATCTGCCAGAGGTTTAAAATATATTAATCTGGTAGAAAACAAGTATGAGGTTACGTATTTTAGCCTGTAATTCTGAAGGTTCGTTTAGCCCAAACTCTTTATTTTGCAAATGAATAAAGTGGGCCTATCATGATGAAGTAGTTCTGGATCTCTCTGTTCTGTCAGGTTATTAAATTGTCAGTATTCATTGCTTTCAGCATGCCTGCCTCAAAAATGTACTTGCTGTTTTTAACCTTCATAGGCTTGGAAATAAAATAACCAAGCTGTTTAGCAGGTATATAATTGGAATAAATTAACTCTGCGTGATGAAGGCCTAAGGGCAGCTACTGTGAGTCAAGTAAATAAATGTTAGTTCCTGGACATTTTGGCATTTATTTTGGCCTCTCAAATGTCTTTGTGACTTTCTTTCTAGCTCTTGGTGTCGTTCAGGTAAATGAGACCTCCAGAAAAAGTCTGTTTATTACTGGAGTTAGTAGAAGAAATGACACCAAAACTCTAGATCTTTGGTTTTCCATTAAATGTTCTCTTAAAAATGCAGCTCATTTAAAACTAAGTGTGTACTTACTGAATTTCAGGAAATCGCAACTTCATTACTTCCTAAAATGTATATTTCTAAACAAGAACACATACTCAACAAAATATGTACAGTCTAAACAGCAACATGGGATGTGTCCGGCCTATTTTATTCTCAAATCAGAAAAGAAATAATTAAACCTACAGGAGGATGTTAAGCACCATGCCAGGCACTGTAGCATTGTAGAACTCACAAAGACCGTGAGATGTGAGATGCAGATGAAAATGCTGCCTTACCTCCTTCCTCAAAGTTTGAGCCATAATCGCCCGTAGGAGTGGACCATAAAACTGGTATTAGGGGCATTCATATTGTGTCCTCCTAATCCTCTGGAACCATTACCTCTCTGACTTTTACTAACCAGATTATGCTGCTGGTATTGATTCTTTTGACTAATGCCTCACTGTTACTAGACCTCCAATTTCAGTATAAAATATTCACTACTGCTTGAAAGGTAATATGTTAAATTGCTATCAGCCATTAACACATAGTGTTGAATGAATGTCTTTTCCCTCATTCTTTGCTGCAGCTAAGTGTATCTGAGGTTTAGAAACAAAGCGGTTTAAATTTAAGAAAATAAAAACACAGAGAGAGAGAAGGGAATAGGGAATTTTGGAGCCTGAGCCACAATAAGGTTAACTGAGGATGCTACAGTTGGTTTGTGGCCACAGGGTTCCAATGTAGGGTAAAACAAAGCAGAGTGGAGAAGGCAGCGGGAAGTTTGGGGGAAGGGAGAGGGGGCAGCAGAATGCTGAAATGGAGCAGAATAGAAGAAAGTAAAAAAAGAGAAATCAAAGGCTAAATAGAAACTTAATTTTGATAAGGCTGGCTATATTTTAAAGAGATTACGGATTTCTGTGAAAGGATAATATCAAGAAATTATTTCTAGTGAGTTAAAACATTTTGTTAAATATTGCCACATTCAGCACAAATGCTTATAATGAAACACTAATGCGTAAAGATTATTTATTTATGGTTCTCAAACAGAAATGGTATTGTATCAACTCCACTGGGTATGCTTTGTCCGGTTTGATTTTCTAATTAGCAATTCTTAGCATGATTAAATGCTAAATACACAGCTGTGTAAGGCTTCAGCTGGTAGTAACCAGTAGTGCCTAATACTGACTTTTTAAAGAGAATAACAAAAGTACTCAAATACTGGATATAAACCTTTTGAGGCCTTATTCCCTATTCAGCTGAAAGAAGTAATCAACATAAGCACTGATTGTATACAATATGTGAATAAAGCTTGTATCTATGTATTATTTGACATTTCTGTTAAAAAGTTATGTGGACTAGATGGAAAATAAGCCTAGCTTAAATAATGTATTCAGCTGAAATCACATATATATTACCATGATTTCCATTAAACCGTAATTTTAAAAGACTAAAGTTATTACTAAGCAAGTCTAGAGGGATAAACTATACCATCCATATCAAAACATTATCAGAATCCCATATGTTCTGAAAAATGAGCTTTTTTGTATTCATATGAAAAGTTGTATATAATCTAGTACATAAATAATTTCTCTTTTCATTCTTACATTATCTCTTCTTGTAACATCTAATGCTTCTAAAAATTGGAAACAATGGAGACTTTTCTGTCTTCATAACAGGAAACTGATTCAAATTACACATCAGAATACATTTCTGCTCTTTAAATTTGTAAAGATCTGGTAAACAAGCCTCATTTGAAGTTTTATTTACAAAGCGATATACTTAAAACTTAACTGAAATAAATGGATCTTTTTTATGAGGGGGGAAAGCATTTGAACTTTACCAAAATAAATTTGCAAAAGCTTGAAGCATTTTTCTATAATTTCAATTTTTTCCTTAAAATGTTTCTAAATAAATATTTTACAAAATCTTTTCCACAAATTCTCTATCACAAAAAGCTGAAAGGTATAATTCTTAAAAGGTAAGAAAATTATGTATATGGCTTGATGCATTTCAAAATTCTCTTTAAGATTATAGTTGAAGAAAAAAAGTCTTTCAATAAAAATGGTAATTCAATTATATTCACTGGGGAAAAATATGTACTTTCTGTATTGTACAAAATCAAATAATATGGTGGCTTGAATTTTTTTTTTTTTGAGACAGAATCTCACTCTGTCACCCAGGCTGGAGTGCAGTGGCACAATCTCAGCTCACTGCAACCTCTGCCTCCGGGCTTCAAGTGATTCTCCTGCCTCAGCCTCCTCAGTAGCTGGTATTACAAGTGCGTGCCACCATGCTCAGCTAATTTTTGTATTGTGAGTAGAGATGGGGTTTGATCATGATGGCCAGGCTGGTCTCGAACTCCTGACCTCAAGTGATGGTGGCCTGAATTTTTAATCATTGGTTTTTAAAAAACAAATATTACTTGTCTTAAGTCTATTTCTAATTATTGTTCATGGTTTACTAAAAAAAAAAAAAGCTTCACTAGTACACAAATTGTAAAACTGATCCTTTTCTATGCCTCTCACTTGTCCATCCTCTGCAAGACTCCAGCTTTATGAATTATCAGAGATCTGCCAACTGCACTAGAAATAAGAACGATTTAAGAATGGAAGTCTGTATTTTAATGTATGTATAAGGCTCAAAATTTTCTCTTTCACACCATCACTGAAGTGGAAGCCACTTTAAAGACCGTCCAAGCCCTATCACTGACCCACTCACAATTTAGTGATAAAAAAAGGTAAAGTGATCTTGTCAAGGACTAGATATTCACCTGGTTCCCAGTGAGTACTCTGTCACCTCTACCAATGGTCTGATGCCACAAATGTAAGAAGATTGTTAAAGGAGAGTATAAGTTTAGTCATTTATTACTATATATCTACTTAGCAACAACTAAAATTGTCCAGTGACTCAGGACCACAGGTATACATACCCAACTAACTCATGGAAACATCCAATTCACCAACACCAATAAAGGATGGACCTATGATATCACTTTTTCTAGTTATCCTTTATCCTTTCCTAGTCATGACTTCTCAGAATTCTTGGAGACTCCTCTTCCCTCCTCCTCTTCCTTGGAGAGTCGATAAGCCACTGCATTTATTTCCATGGCTTTACTATAATCTCTTGGAAGGTAACTCCCACAACTGAATACCCAGCATTGACCTTTCCTATCAACTCCATGCTCACATGTTCAAACATCAATTTGACTTTTGAATCCACTCATATACCCACAGGTTTCTCAAATTCAATATGCCCCCAACTAAACAATGTATTTTCCTAAAGAACTTCTTCATCCCTTACTCTTTCGCATCAAGGAAATGCCATCCACCAGTTGCTCAAGCAAGAAAACTGGGTTTTTTAGAACCGCCCATCACTCAACTTCACCCCATTCAATTCTACCTCCCAAATATACTTGGAATTATCCCACTTCTCACCATCTCTGCAGCCATCAATGCACCTCTGAGCTACTGCAACATTCACCCAATTGATCCTGCCTGTCTCCTCTCTTCCCCTTTTATTGTTCTTTTTCCACAAAGCAACCAGAGTGATCCTTTTTTTTTTTTAGACAGTCTCACTCTGTCCTCCAGGCTGGAGTGCAGTGGCGCCATCTGGGCTCACTGCAACCTCTGCCTCCTGGCTTCAAGTGATTCTCCTGCCTCAGTCTCCCGAGTAGCTGGGATTACAGGCACACACCACCACGCTTGGCTAATTTTTGTATTTTTAGTAGAGACGGGGTTTCACCAAGTTGGTCAGGCTGGTCTCGAACTCCTGACCTCTTGATCTGCCCACTTTGGCTTTCCAAAGTGCTGGGATGACAGGCGAAAGCCACCATACCTGGCCCAGAGTGTGGATTTTCTAAAAGTAAATCCAATCATGTTAAAGCCCATCTAAAGCCTCAGAAGGAAATCCAAACCTTGGACAGTGAACAAGGCTTTGCATGATATCATCTCTGTTCATCTCTCTAAGGTCACCTCAGTCACTCTACCCTAGCTCCATGCCATCAGCTTCTCAGCCCCCACTGATCTTTCTCAGTTCTTCAAAATGTAAAGTCCTTCCCACTTTGGGGTGGGTGTTGGTTGCCTGGAATACTCTCCTTCCATCAGCTCTCTCCACTTTCTCAGGAGGCATTACTCTGATTGTCTGAGAAGACTCCTTATTTTCTATCACTGCATTCTTTTGGCTTCTGTTACAGCAGTTTAGCTTTGGAAATATGCATCATATTAATTTGTTTACATCTTTATTATTTCCCCTATTAGACTAGAAGCAACACAAACAAAAAAACCATGAACTGCACTTAACATTGCTAGCTCAGTGCCTGGCACATATTAGGTACCCAATAAATCTGCACTCAATGTATAACTAAATGGCCATCTATCCTTTTTAAGTGTGGCCATCTCTTTGTGATTTGTAAAACCTTTTCAATGTTATACATGTGAAAAAGTTCTAAGAGGACTTTGTAGTGAAAAAAAAGTCAAGTCGGTTTATCTGTTTCTCATCATGGCCTGAAAATGGTAGTCAAGGAATTTAGTTAGCCCCAAGGTTTTAACAATATTTATCAAGTCAATTAAGTTGCTTTTCACTGATAAAAAGTCTGGAAATGCATAGTGTAATAAAAGTTTTATTCCATTTTTGCAAAATAAATTAGGCAACTGTATTGACTTTTGCAACTTCGGATTACGTTAATTCAAAACATATGTATTAAAGCCCATACTGTGCAAGTACTGTCGTACTAGGAATGAAAGTGGGTGGGACATAAAAGTTGACTGACCTGAGATCCCTCAGTATTGCTTCCTCCATTATTTGTTTCTGAAATATTTAAAATTCCTTAGAACCTAATGTTTTTCTTAAAGATCTGTGCAAATCAAATCTTTTTAAATGCTATCAGAAGACCTTTTCTCTAAATCTAATTCAGTATAAAATGATTCAATAGACATTCATTAAGTAGTTACTATATTCAATGAAGTAGAACCAAGTCAGCTTACTTTGTAAAGTTTATTTTTACTCTATCACATATCAAGGAAGGAAAAAAGCAGAAGAAAATCAAGGGAAGTTAGTATCCACCACGTGGTCTTAAGTTTCCCCTCCTGCATTTGAACACCATAATTTTTCTGAAAATCCACCCTGTCAAAAGCCACCCAAATGAAATACTATATGTAAATGACCACTTTTATAGGAACTTCTTTGAAGTTTTAGGACAAAGGAAGACATGCTTGTCTGTCTCTTTTTCTCTCTCCTATCTAATAGCATTTTCATCTCTCACAGCTCTTTCTAGAATGGATGCTCTGTTAACCAGCTAATTAACTCTCTATGTTTATATTAATCAGAATTCTTGAATCTTCTCCTAGAAGTGGTTCCTACAAACAGCAATAAATGCTGCTTTACCAAAATATACTCGAAGGCCAAAAGCAAATGGTGAAGATGAATTAAAACAGGGAGAAGAGTTGAAAGTTATTAGTTCTGAGGCCCTTACCTATTACTGACATGGCTGTACATGGCCACTCTATTTAGATCTATATCTTAAAGCAAGAACTGATCATTCAACAGCATCATCTTAGTTTCACAAAGTGGAACTGTAAGGTAATGAGCTGTTCAGATCTACAGTGTAATCCAGGGCTTTTCTAGTTCTTGAAATCTAGATACATATCCATTTGTTTGGGTGCAATTTACACTGAAAATAACTTTCTAAAACAGAGAAAATCTTTAATTACCAGAAAAAAGATTCTCATACAAAATACATTACGCAATGCTATTAAAATTTATGGATCACATGGATTGTATGAGTTTAAATTAATGGTTCTCAAATAGTGGCTGGTCATCTGACCAACAGTATCAGCATGACCAGGTAACATGGTACAAATTATTAGACCCACCCCAGATCTACTAAGTGGCCTACAATCACGTGCCGACAGGAATTTCATGGAATTCTGATCTAAGCAATACTGAAAGAGAATACAATACTGAAGGAAAATACAAAGGATACAATGGGACATTACTTTTCTTTTATTGTTGTTTTTGTTGAGATGGAGTCTCACTCTGTCGCCCAGGCTGGCGTGCAGTGGCACGATCTCAGCTCACTGTGACCTCTGCCTCACGGGTTCAAGCGATTCTCCTGTTTCAGCCTCCCGAGTAGCTGGCACTATAGGCATGCACCACAACAACGCCCTGCTAATTTTTTTGTATTTTTAGTAGAGATGGGGTTACATCATGTTGGCCAGGCTGGTCTAGAACTCCTGACCTCAGGTGATCCACCTGCCTCAGCCTCCCAAAGTGCTGGGATTACAGGTGTGAGCCACTGAGCCCTGCTGGGATATTACTTTTAATGACAAAAACCACAATTACTTTTGCACCAACCTAATAAATAATATAGGAAGAAGTCAGTATAAATATTGGGGTTGGTTGCCGAGTCTGAACCTTAGATCTTAGAAGAAACTACTAAGGCTTTTTTGGCATTTCTAGGTTACTGAGTCTAGTTCTTCAGGGTCTGAGTGTGGAGGAGATTCAGTACAATGCTGGGCTAGAAGGAAGGCAATCATTTATTTGCCTAGAGTTCTCCCTTAAACTCCCTCAAAAATGAGAATCACAGAGTCAGGAGAATGGATAGGTGTGGAGCCAGCAGAAGAGGGGCTGGAGTCCCAGTTCCTCCACTGAAAGGCCTGAAAAATCAGTGTCCCAGAGGTTAAAGAAGCCAGCATTCTGATGAAGCTACTCCCTTAATTCTTCTTTCTACCCTAGAGAAGATATATCTATCAATTTCTGTTCATTTCTTAAGAAACTCCAGGTGATCTAAGAACCACGTATCTCACACAATTGTCATCGTCCTTCTACTTCACTAAGAAAAATAATGGAAGAAAGAAAAAAAAAAAATCCCCAAGATGGAAACAGAAGTACCAGTGTCAACAGCCCGAATGAAGAGAGGTGAAACCATAGATGCTCCACATCCCTCCTACATCTCTATCCACTCTCCTGAGAACCATTCTTCTCCTCAGCATGTGGAAAATAAGAAATGATCAGTGATTCCATACTCTTGGCTCACTGTAAGTTACAAGGGTTATTACAGTAATAATAAGAGTAATAGAGTAATAACTGCCACCACCAGGTATTGTCGTGGCTCTCATATACCAAAAGTCCTCTGAAGTAAGTACTGACATGCTATCCTCATTTTAATTAGGCTGATTCCTTTAACCAAAAGAGTCGTATGAAGATAAGACTAAAAGTCAGGGCCATTTGACTAAAAAAGCCCCTGTTTTTCCATTTTGGTATTTTGTACAAGGAACAATACCTGGAAAGGTGAAATACAATTTTTCATATACAAAGCCAGAAAATAGGTAGTTTGTCTTCAGTGCCACTGATTTGTCACAAGCTCATGCTTACACCACAAAATCTGAGCTCAGAAATAGATCTGACAAACCCTTTGGCAGTAGCAATTTAAATTTCATAAATAGACCTGTTTGGCTTAGAATAAGAGTATTTGTGAAGAATATCATCCCCCAAAACTGGTGTCAACAGTAATTTAATTGAGAAATTTGTCATTTCTAAAAATTATCAGTTAAAAATATTTCCCTTAAAAATATTGCCAGTATTTGACTTAATACCTAAATGAACAATTCTCTAGGGCTTATTAAAGCTTAAAAACTTAACAATGTGTGCTGGAGTTAAAATCATGTCAGATCTTGCAATATCAATTCAAAACAAGTTTGTTTGATTCCGTTCATATATTGGATCTCCTATCATATCAGGAAATCCTTGTAAGCCCATAATGCTTACAGAAGCAGATGACAAGCTATTAAAAACTACAATGTTGCTTAGAAAATTTTTGTATCAGTGAACTGAACAGTTAAGTCATTGATAGTTTCAACAGTGCTTGATTTACTTACTTCCTGGATAGATTTCTTTAACAAGAAATTTGGTTACTTACTATAAATTTGGTTTCTTACTACAAAATAATAAGAAAATACATGATTAACCTATAAAGCATCTGCAAAAACATTTTACATTAATGAGTTCCCTTAGAGAATTTATTTTTTCTGCCAAACTATCATTTAACAGTTCATTAAATATTAAACTTTTATTGAGTGCCAACCACTTTTCAGGCATTCAGGGTATAGAGTACCAACCTTTTGAGGTACTCACATTCTAGTTAAGAGAGCCATCCAACAAACAAACAAACAGTAGTTAAAGTACTAACATTTCTGAACTCAGAATTAGTAACTGGAATGAAATTATTAGTCTCTTCTAAACATTGTCATCCTCAATTTTCTGACCCCCACATAGCTAACAACATAGCATAGTACTACTATATAGATGAAGCTTTACATCTCCAGCTTTAAATTTCATAAGATAACAAATTGCATATGTAATTATTAATAAAAATGGCCTTAATTTTCCACATCTGCTGCAACCCTGGATCAAGTCTTTTACCCCCAAGGACCCTGGTCTCATATCCAAGCCTAGAGACTTCATTCATTAATGGTGAAACCAGCTTTCAATCACCATATGTAATAGGAAGTAATGGCTTCTATGTTAATCAGGAATACCAAGTATGGAAAGTCACTATTTTGTTTCTTCATTTCATTTTTCTTCTCATAAACTTACCTGCTCACAAGTGGCTAATCTAATAACTCTGTTGCTCAATCTCTCATTGTCCCCAAGATCATTCTCTGAGGGAGTTCCAGCAAATAACAAAATGACAAACAGTGAATATCTCCTGGTCTAGTCCCTGGTCCCATGTGCTTTCTTATCTCTGTTTATCTCTTATCTCTCCCCAAGACTATGCTTCCTTAAATAAAAATGTCTCCACAACTGGTGAACTTAAGATGCCATAAATACTCCTAATGTGGAAATATAGTATCTCTGAAGAGCACCAAATGAGTGCCATGCTGCCTCAAATCATCTTTCAAGACAGCAATAGCTGGCCTGACTTTCAGCACTGCCCCTGTTTATATGCATATTTGGAAGAGAGAAAAGACTATTTTAGTTCACAATTGGGTAATGGTATGGTTATCTTCTTTCCTCACTATCAGTAACATTAGAATAGTTATTCTAATTCATTAAAATAACTTAGTACCAGCTGGGGCAGTGGCTCATGCCTGTAATCCCAGCACTTTGAGAAGCCAAGGTGGCTGAATCACTTGAGGTCAGGAGTTTGAGACCATCCTGGCCAACATATCGAAACCCTGTCTCTACTGAAAATATAAAAATTAACTAGGCGTGGTGACATACACCTCTAATCCCAGCTACTTGGGAGGGTGAGGCAGGAGAATTGCTTGAACCCAAGAGGCAGAGGCTACAGTGAGCCAAGATCATGCCACTGCACTTCAGCCTGGGTGACAGAGTGAGACTCCATCTCAAAAAATAAAAATTAAAAAAAAAACTCAACAACTTAGCATGGATTTTTGGGTTGCTTAATGGCTAGGACAGTATACAGACACAAATTTAGAACAAACAGATGATAGTTATAATATTAACATTGTTGCACTAACTGAATCACCTATTTTTGGCAACTATTTCTATTTGATACAGTTCATTAAATATTAAAGTTTTATTGAGTACCAACCATTTTTCAGGCACTCAGGTTATAGAGTATCAACCTTTTGAGGTACTCACATTCTAGTTAAGAGAGCCATGTAAAACAAACAAACAACAACAAAAACAGTACAACAACAGCAAACAGTAGTTAAAGTGCTATTAGGTGCTATAAGAGTTCAAGGCTGTAGAAGTTGAAAAGTGGCAGAGAGCAACTGCCTGGCAGCGTAGGCCATTTCAGCCAATGGGAAATCATCTAAAAAGTATCACTTGAAACATTTATTTTTAATAACTATTAGATTCCCTAAGTAAACATGTACTATTCTTTGGTGGATTATCTGCTAATAAAATTAATAAAAATTAAAATCACTTTCCAATTAGATGTCATTATTTCATTCACATTTAATATTTAAAGGATCTATTTGGCCAGGCGCGGTGGCTCACACCTGTAATCCCAGCACTTTGGGAGGCCGAGACGGGCAGATCACAAGGTCAGGAGATCGAGACCATCCTGGCTAACACGGTGAAACTCCATCTCTACTAAAAATACGAAAAATTAGCTGGGTATGGTAGCACTAGTCTGTAGTCCCAGCTACCTGGGAGGCTGAGGCAGGAGAATCACTTGAACCTGGGAGGCAGAGGTTGTAGTGAGCTGAGATCATGCCACTGCACTCCAGCCTGGGTGACAGAGCAAGAGATTCCATCTCAAAAAAAAAAAAAAAAAAAGAATCTATTCAAATAGGGACCTGTCTACAGACCTCCTTCTTGATCAAAGCATTTTTATTTTTTAATCTTTATCCATGTTCTCTACTGGCCTGCAATGATAGAGTAGGTAAACCACTATATGAATGTGATCCAACTCAGAATTCTTCCCCTTAGTCCACATTGTTTAAAGACTCCTATTAGAGGCAGCCAGGTAGTAGATGATAAGTTGTCTTTCCAGGCACATTTCTAACATGGATTTTAAAATGATTTCTACTATCAAGGCACACAATTTCTTCACTCTACACTGACACAACATTTTGTAATCAAAAGCATTTGAACTTAGGCTGATTTAGTTTATCAAATCTCTAAAGCATAAATAAGAGTCCATATGGTTTCATTTGACTTGAGTATTAAGCCCTGACAATCTTTGAGAGACATAAAATAAATAAGATTCAAAAAACTGCTGTCTCTGCATGGTTTTATACACAATTGTAAGTAAGTAAATGACTAAAATTAGTGACAAGAGATGCAATCACCTTGAAAAAACACCTAATAAATAGCAAAACAATCCACATTACACCTGACTTTGCCACAGACTATCTGTGTGGCTTTTGATGAAGTCTTTGTATCTACTATGTGAGAAATGGATGGACTATTCCCTATCTCTATTCTACCTACTTTAAAGGAAAGAATAAATAAAAGGAATGGAGCCGAACTATATGCTCTCTACAGGATTTCTTTAGGATCAAACATTGTGAAAGCTTATTTAAAATGTCCTTTATAAATTTTCTCTGCCCTTTCATCCCAGGTTGTGAAATTCAGTCCCACTGTAAAATCATTTACAGACATCTGGAAAACCTAATCTATGCCCAGTGTAAGATACCAGGGCAATTAACAATTAAGCTGCTATATGTGAATCATGTGTTCTACGCAGCTACTTTCTGGGCCTTCCTGTGTTACTGTCACAACAATGCCCTGTAAATAATACAGGCATTTGAGAAACTCATTAACTTTTAGAATGAAAAGGTACAGTTTATTATCTCAAATAAATCTACTAGAAAAATCTCAGTGGGAACATGTGTTCATAAGCATATAAAACCACACCAGAATAAGGAATACCTGAAAGAGTACTGCACATCATTCTTCAAAATACTCCCTGCTCAAAAACTATAAATAACATTCTGAAATGAAAACAGCCCTTCACAATGATAATCTAATAGACTTCCAATAATAATAATATACTTATCTATGTCCACATACTATATATAACACATGCACACATGCCATGTCTGTGCATGCAACCAAACTAACTGGCACAAAGCAAACTTTGTAAACAAAAAACGCATTTCAAAAGAACCACTACAAATAGCCCAGAGGAAAAAGAACTCCACAAAGAAAGTCAAGCCAGTGTCAAATGAGAAATTATGGCAAATTAAAGGATATTTTGAGTAATACCTTATGTCGAGCACCAAAAACCACTAAAAAGATGTTTTTCATGTAAAACAAAATAGTGACACTAGTAAGGACATCTGTGTGCAGAGGAATCCATGACAGAAAAAAATGCTTGGATGGTAGAAAAAAAATTATCACATGCTATGCATCTTTTTGAAAGGTAGAGTATTGAAAATAAAACATAAAATATTTTCCTACACTTATACTGTGTCATTCAAGTTGCTGCAACTCAAGACAAATATACAGCAGGAACTGGAAGGAAAGAAAAGGCAATCAGGACAGGACATTCCTTTTTTTTTTTTTTTTTTTTTTTTTAGACAGGGTCTCACTCTGACACCTAGGCTGGAGTGTAGTGGTGTGATCTCAGCTCACTGCGGCCTCGACCTCCTGAACTCAAGTGATCCTCCCACCTCAGCCTCCTGAGTAGCTGGGACTATAGACATGCATCACCATACCCAGCTAATTTTTATTTTTTGTAGAGACAAGGTTTCACTATGTTGTCCAGGCTGGTCTCGAACTCCTGGACTCAAGTGATCCTCCTGCCTTGGCCTCCCAAAGTGCTGGGATTACAGGCATGGGACACCGCGTCCAGCTCCTTTTCATCATATACTTCTTCTTCAATCAAGTGACTGAAGAAGAGAGACATCACCCAGATGAAAACCAAAGGGAGCTGGCAGAAGGGGAGTGTTCTAGCTCGGAAAAGATGATGACCTAGAGAGAACAAGGATGATTTGTGTAACATTTTAAATGACTCAGTTAAGGTAAAGACACACCTTGATTACCAAATCTTTTAGAAGCTACTTCTAAAATCTGATTTTAGCTACCTTTAGGAAGGTGACTCTGCCAGAGAAGATCTGAGGATTCAAAATGAGCTTGGATAAATTCAAGAATGGCTAAGATAAGCTGAGATTAATCCCTATCCTTTACAGTTGACGTCAGAGAGAACAAGTGTGCCCTCATGGCCTCCAGTGGCTGTATATATTTGAAATGCTGTGGGTGTACAGGCCATTTCTGTTTCCATGTTATATGAAATATATCGATATATTATTTATTAATTATAACTCTAATGGCCATATTAGAAAAGCCTACAGGTCGTATATTTCTAATCACCTTATTGCCTCACGACAAAATTCAGCCATGTGATTGTCCTCATCTATACGAGAAAATCTGGATTTACTCTTCATCAAGGCCCTGATAGAATTTTTAATATGTAGTACCAGAACTAGAAATCAACAATTTAGCAAAATTGTTTTGAGTGGCTATTTCCAGAGGTAGGATTAAAAGTAACTTGAATAAAGTCCTGCAACAAGCCCTACACTTCCTAGTAAATGGGATCTGATGTTGAGGTTAAATTGAGAGATTCAATCTGAGGTTAGAAAACTCACTACAACAATAGGTATGTGTATGGCTTCTGCTAATGTGGGATACCTAATAAAAAACAAGGATGGTGAACAGAATACCAAGGGATTTACTGTTGGCTCAATCAATAAAAAGAATTTAAGTTTCACATAGAGAACAGAGTTTCTTAAAGTGCCATTGATTCCATCATTGAAATGAAATTGCAATAGAGCATGCTTTCCTTAAAACCATTACATTTACTTACTAGCTTAAATTAACCAACTCCCTACTTTGATGGAAGTTACCACCTCACTTTCATTATTGGACATAAACTAGTGGTAATAACCTCCCAGAGAAGAACCTCTGTTCACTGACCTGAAGCTAAACATATATACCTGTTAATTGTGCTATTTGGGGCAGAACAGAGGGGATTCTGTGTGTAATTAAAGATAAAATCACTTATACTCATTAAAATTAACCATTTAACTATATTCTCCTCACATACTATAACTATTACTTAATCAGAAAACTACTTCCCAGGCAGTCTATTGACCATATGGCATAGTGGTCTTTTCAGTATTACAGAAATGCTCATTCAAAGCAGGAATGTTTCCCAGGGAAGTGGTGGACCCACATAAAGGGACTTTGGAGGCCCCATGTCCTAATCACCTTTTAGTGTACTGTATATATACAATATATATAAATAACAAATCATATCTCTTCCAAAAATCAAAATTGACTTTTACATTAAAAAAGAATTACCAAGGAATTCGGCAAACCTTACTTCTGGTAGTGGGCTGGCTGGTTTGGTTAGGATTCCTCCTACATAAACAACATTAGGCAGAGTGGGTCTTGGGAATTCCAGTGCTACGTCAGTACACAGCATCCACAGGCTGGACCCATGAACCAAATCATACATGGACTTCTCTGGCAGCAGGTTGTACTTCTGCATTATCCTTTCATATTTGGGAAGAACCAGAAAGCTGACCCCTAATCTGGAAATGAGGTAAACACCGGTATTTTTCATCCTTTGCAGCAAGTTCATGCGGTCTGTGAGGAGTGAGTTAAACTCTGGGACGTATGCTAATGGAGCAGGAGCACCCACTTCAGCAGGATACCAAAGGCCAGTTGAAAATACAGCATATTTAACCCCTAAAAGATGAGCTATCACAAATCCACACATATCATTAGGGTCCACCAGCAGCAGGTCAAATTTTTCTTTCTTCAGACCCTGGATCAGGGCATGGTTGCCAACCATCAGGTCACAGTTCTTAGTATAGTGATCCAGTATGTCAAACAGTTCGATTGCTGTCAATCTCCCAGAGAAAATATTCCGCATCTTGGACTGTAGGAAAGCATCTGAGGTGGTACTGTTAAAGATCCCTGGGTAGCGCTGGAGGCTGTAATGATTAGATGGGGCGATGTCTCTGCCTTCAGAGAGGAGGAACACTGTATGGTGGCCTCTCTCGTGCAAGGCTGAGGCTAGCGTCTTGAAAATGTACATATGGCTTTCAAACATAATTGGCGGCACGATGATGATTTTGGCAGCCTTCGCTATCCCAACAGCACTCCACAGGAGAATGAAATATGGAGTGTAAGACTTCATAGCTGTAATAACAACCAGAAAACAACTTAAAACAAAATACAATGCTCACCATTCAAAACAAGCAATCACAAAGCATTTTTCCCCAAAAATATCTGATCTAATACTTTGTCTAAAAAAAAAATCATGAACAGACACTTCTCAAAAGAAGACATTTATGCAGCCAAAAAACACATGAAAAAATGCTCACCATCACTGGCCATCAGAGAAATGCAAATCAAAACCACAATGAGATATCATCTCACACCAGTTAGAATGGCAATCATTAAAAAGTCAGGAAACAACAGGTGCCGGAGAGGATGTGGAGAAATAGGAACACTTTTACACTGTTGGTGGGACTGTAAACTAGTTCAACCATTGTGCAAGTCAATGTGGCGATTCCTCAGGGATCTAGAACCCAGCCATCCCATTACTGGGTATATACCCAAAGGACTATAAATCATGCTGCTATAAAGACACATGCACACGTATGTTTATTGCGGCACTATTCACAATAGCAAAGACTTGGAACCAACCCAAATGTCCAACAATGATAGACTGGATTAAGAAAATGTGGCACATATACACCATGGAATACTATGCAGCCATAAAAAATGATGAGTTCATGTCCTTTGTAGGGACATGGATGAAATTGGAAATCATCATTCTCAGTAAACCATCGCAAGAACAAAAAACCAAACACCGCATATTCTCACTCATAGGTGGGAATTGAACAATGGGAACACATGGACACAGGAGGGGGAACATCACACTCTGGGGACTGTTGTGGGGTGGGGGGAGGGGGGAGGGATAGCATTGGGATATATACCTAATGCTAGATGACAAGTTAGTGGGCGCAGCACACCAGTATGTCACATGTATACATATGTAACTAACCTGCACATTGTGCACATGTACCCTAAAACTTAAAGTATAATAATAAAAAAAAAGAATGCATTCTATAGTATTATACACTAACATACAAAAAAAATCACTATTAAAAATTATCCTGATATTTGTTCTAATTACCTCTTTATTTTTGAAAGATCAATTATGTTTAAGTATAGAATTGAAAGCAAAGTTGACATAAACTGAAATATATTAAAAATGGATCTGTTTGGGAAGAAAATTGAATCAGTAAACTATTTTCAAACATTTGAAATAACATTTTGATAAGGCTGAATGACACATAATATATCTTTTTGGAAGAATATCTATGAAATATCTATGGAACATCTGTTCATCTTCTAATTGAATGTCAATGTTAATCCCAGGAAGAAGAGCTGACCTTTTTAATTTCCAGGTATATCAGCACGTGTCTCTTATTTAAATCATTTTAATTCAATGGTTACATTTGCAGTTATAATCAAAGCATACCAAAGAAAGATTGTTTTAGAAAATAATTATTTTGAATGGTAGTTTGGTAATTCTGCAGAAAAGACTTTTTTCCAGAGGAAAAATGATCTTTAACATATATTTTCCCTTTACCTAAATACCATAGTTGTCCTAGCAATCTATATTTATGTAATCTATGTCAATTTGCTGATGCATTTCAGGGCATTATGTAAAAGAGAAACTTTTAATAGAAAAGCTCAAGAGGGTTAATGGATCTCAGTAAATACTTATTGAAAAAGGACTGATGAATGATTATGTCTCAGACCACACTTCTATGTTGTACCTTTAACTCAGGTGCAAATGTCAAGTCAGAGGATGCCTGTACACTTGAGGGCCAGTACTTCTCCTACCTTTTCATGTTAACAGATATGTGTAATAAAGTTGTCTTTTATTGTTTTTAGAGATAAATATACTATACGTGGGGACCATATAGTGTGCAAATACACCCACCAACCTATTCAATATAATGAATTCTTAGACTCTAAATTAGACCCCCAAATAGAAAAAAGATCTAAACAATTGCTCATGCAAACTGGACACATTTCAAAAATCTCAAAATAGATTTATACACACATCACCAACACACATATAACCAAATTGATATCTATTTTTACTCCTTAGAATACATTAACCCTCCTATTTGTATAAATTCCCAACATCTAAACGCAGTTTTAACAACTATACCTTCTAAACATTCAAACACTACAAGCAATGTAAAGAAATCAATAGCAGGCAACTAATAGATTCTTCCAATAACAAGATTGAACTCTAAAATACATATATTTCCAGATGCTTTTTTCCTCTCCTACTCTAAGGGAAGTTTCAAACTATTTGAAAGTTGAAATTATACCATTAAGAATAAGTAAAAGTAATGCACATTACAAACATATAATATAAATGTCACTTACATTATTATAAGGCTTTAAAAATAATTAACTTTGGAGAAGATACTGATTCTATAGTAAAGTTGACTACAATTACAAGATCAGTGAAGAAAGAAAATTAAGGAGCTGATCTTAGAAAAACCTTCCAAATGTTTATTCTACTGTACTGCCTCACCTATGTGTCTCTCCAATGTTGCCTTCTCACAAATCTGAAGAAGGAAAAATGAGATATTTTACAAGGAAATATGAACTCCAGGGATAAGACTAATGCCAAAACAGGTAGGTATTCCAGCAGCTACTGCTCACTGCTGTCACTTCTTGCATATTCGAGAGGTGAGTACTTGATGATGGAACAATGGTAGAAAACTGGTCTCTCCACTGGGTTCTGGATCTAGCTGAGCAGACCATAGGTACACTCTGTTCAGTTACAGTTAAAACTACTTTATCTATCATAAATAACTTAAAACAAAAATGATCATAGAGAACAAATGCTTTCACTGTGCTTTTGTTTAATTCTTCCTTTTTAATTTTAATATTTTATTTCAGTAATTACTACAAAGTAAAAAGAAATCACATAATTTTTAATGAACTGCTTATATTTTAGAATAGCATTGTCAAGATATAATTATCTTATATTTTAATATAATTATGTTATTATAATAGCCAATATTATTTATATTAAAGAAACCTGAAAAATACTCAATAGAAAACAAACTAAGCAATACAAATAAAATATGCAGACATATCAAATGCACCATAAACAAATATAATGACAAATGATATCTCAGAAATACAACCTGCAACATACATAATAGATATTTCACTTCCCTAAGTATTCTCCTGATTTCATTTAGTGCAGGAGAGGATTATTACCATCTGCAAATCTTGAAGTTATGTTAAATTCTCAACAACTGGGGATTGGTTAAATACACTGTCATTCATTCATATAATGCAGCCACTAGAAAAATCTTATAAAAAGAATATGGCATAAGATATTCAAGATTAAATGTTGACTGAAAATTAGGATACTAAACATTATAAACATCATGTAGCACTTTGCAAAATATATACATGTGTACACATATGGGAATGATACTTGCCAAAATAGTATTGTTTTTCTCTGGATAGTGTGAATTATAAGAGTTTTAACTTTTCCTTTTATGTATTCACAAAGGAATCCACAGTGCGCATGTGTTACTCTCACTGAAATAAAAATAAATATTATTTTAAAGTAACATATGATGAAAAAATACTTCATTCACAATAACAATAAAGTGTACAATATACCTTTTACATTACCAACATAGAATATTTGTTGCCTGTAACATGGCCAGACTTCCCCTGAAGATATATACACAGGAATATTTTCTAAATGTATAGAAACACTTTTGTTTTCACAAAAGAAAATATTCTAAAAGTTAATCCTTCCCATGTTATAAATAGACTGATACATTTCTTCCAAATCCCACTGGATGATTGTTGGGTTTTGTTCGAAATTTAATCAAAATTATACCTATGTTCATTGGAAAAATATAAAAAGAAGAGAGAATACATTTTTGAAAAAGAAACAGTAATGATTTGGGATATCCATATAAATCTTAAAACATATTTTAAAACCCAATAATTAAAAACTGGAATTAGCCCAAGAATTCTACATGAAATCAATGCATCAGTGTAGGAAGCCTATTGGAATTCCCTGAATAAATATAAGCCTAATAGATGACGAAGGAAGTACCACAAATAGATGAGGAAAGAAAAACTTATTCAATAGTGTTAAAAATTTGCTTTATATTTGAAAAATAAAATCACTATATTTTTTACCTTAAACCTTCCTTAAAGTAAATTGAATAGCACAGTGTTAAAAGTTTTTAGATAAATCCATTAAAAATGTTTAGCTTTAAAGGATTATCTGGAAAGAGAAAAAAATAAGCATAAAGCAAAGCAAACAATTGCTTTTACAAATATTAGATTTAAATGCACAATCATTAATATTTTTGGAATGTTTAGAACATCTGGAGCAAGCAGAGGTTTCCAGTTTAAAATGGCAGATTAAAACAAGTGTTTCCATTCCTTTTCTCCCGAAGCTCCACTGGAAATTTGAGTGAAGAATATAAAAGAAAATAAATACACATGAGTTCTGAAAAGTGGTATGAGGCATTGACAGGGCTACAGTGGAATGACTGAACAAATGAACAAATTAGACTTGTCTCTTATAAAACCGGCAAGGATGTTATTTTTAGTGATAATGCTCAACTCTTGCAAAGGCACAGTGTAGTCTTAAGAAGTTGGTGAAAATGTAAACTGGTGTAAATGTTATGAAATACAACTGGCATATTATTTTATAACACTACAGAGATACCAATACTTATGTAGAAAAATGTCCATTGCATTCATAGCCAACAGCAAACAGCCAGAAACCACTATAAAGCCAACAGTAGATTAATTTAATTACACTATATTTTTATCATGGAAAATTATAGAACTTCAAAAATAATGTTTGAAAATAATTTTAATATCAGAAAATACTTGTAACATAACACTAAGAAGATCAGAAATAAAATTATGTATATGATATATATGTATATATAAAGTGATTATAATGATAACAAAGTAAAGATGAAACTGATAACAATTTTAAGGTTATGGACTTGAACAATTTTCTTTCCTTTTCTTATATTTTTCAGGATTTTCAAAGATTTCTACCAAAAGTAGGTAATTCTACAGCTTTCAGCTGGCACATCCCTGGAGCTGGAGCCTTACTCTCATCCTTCCTTTGGAGTTAAGCATCTTAAAACATCAGTCTCTATTTGCTGGTCTCCACTTACTCCCCAGATGTTTACTGTCAGCCTTTGAATCCACCACAATTCTAACCAAATTCTTACTGTTAAGGGCACTAACGCTTCCCAAAATTCATACAAATGCCCATTTTCCACTTATCTGTTTGGACTTCCATTTAACAGTAGCCACTAGTGATTCTCTCTTTCTCTAAATTCTCTTTTGGCTTCTAGGATACTACTACTATTTGACTACAAGATTCTGGCAGTGGAGTAACATGCTGCCAGAATCTTGAAGAAAATCCAAAATTCAAAGAATGTACAAATATTTGAAGACTCTACACAAACTGCATTATCAGTCTACCCTTTTTTCTTTCTATTAAAAATTATTTCTATGCTTGCTTTCAAGAGAGGAAGCCAAAAGCATTTTAATAGGTGTGTCTACCACTCACCACAGGGAAGTCATTTAACATTTCAGTGTGAATTAATTTGGGTGAAACAGTAAGATATCAGGATATTGGGGTGCACATCCAAAACGTTCATCTGTAAAAGTGATTTCTCCAAGGCCAAAGGAAGGGTTTGTCTGTTTGTTTTGTTTGAGATGGAGTCTTGCTCTGTAGCTCAGGCTAGAGTGCAATGGCACAATCTCAGCTCACTACAACCTTCACCTCCCAGGTTCAAGCAATTCTCCTGCCTCAGCCTCCTGAGTAGCTGGGATTACAGGCACATACCACCGTGCCCAACTAATTTTTGTATTTTTTTTAGTAGAGACAGGGTTTCACCATGTTGGTCAAACTGGTCTCGAACTCCTGACCGTGTGATCTGCCTGCCTCAGCCTACCAAAGTGCTGGGATTACAGGCATGAGCCACCATGCACAGCACAAAGGAAAGGTTTTAAACCCTTAGAGCTCCAGAAAACAAGTTAGATTAGCTACAATGCTTCTGTGCCTAGGTATCAATGGTTCATATATGCTGAAATTTGATACAGGAACACCCCAATATACTACTGAAATATTTTAAAGATGAAAATAGAATTTTATAAATCCCCTGTATTTCCCATTTTTCCAAAGAGACTAAAGCTAAAATACCAGAGTTTAATACCATACATGGGAGCCAAGATGGCCGAATAGGAACAGCTCCAGCCTACAGCTCCCAGCATGAGTGACGCAGAAGACGGGTGATTTCTGCATTTCCAACTGAGGTACTGGGTTCATCTCACTGGGGAGTGTTGGACAGTGGGTGCAGGACAGTGGGTGCAACACACCGAGCATGAGCCGAAGTAGGGTGAGGCATCGCCTCACCTGGGAAGCACAGGGGGTCAGGGAATTCCCTTTCCTAGTCAAAGAAAGGGGTGACAGAAGGCACCTGGAAAATCGGGTCACTCCCACCCTAATACTGCACTTTTCCAACGGTCTTAGCAAACAGCACACCAGGAGATTATATCCCCCGCATGGCTCAGAGGGTCCTACGCCCATGGAGCCTCACTCATTGCTAGCACAGCAGTCTGAGATCAAACTGCAAGGCGGCCATGAGGCTAGGGGAGGGGCGCCCGCCACTGCCGAGGCTTGAGTAGGTAAACAAGGCGGCCGGGAAGCTCGAACTGGGTGGAGCCCACTGCAGCTCAAGGAGGCCTGCCTGCCTCTGTAGACTCCACCTCTGGGGGCAGGGCATAGCCCCAAAAAAGGCAGCAGAAACCTCTGCAGACTTAAATGTCCCTGTCTGACAGCTTTGAAGAGAGTAGTGGTTCTCCCAGAACGCAGCTGGAGATCTGAGAACGGGCAGACTGCCTCCTCAACTGGGTCCCTGACCCCCGACTAGCCTAACTGGGAGGCACCCCCCAGTAAGGGCAGACTGACACCTCACATGGCCAGGTACTCCTCTGAGACAAAACTTCCAGAGGAACAATCAGGCAGCAACATTTGCTGTTCACCAATATCCGCTGTTCTGCAGCCTCTGCTGCCTGATACCCAGGCAAAAAGGGTCTGGAGTACTTCAGTTTGGCATATAGCCAAAAAGACGAAAGACAATTTTTCTCTACCTCTCTAATAGCTTGTTTTAGTCACATAAATAAGTTCTACTTAATGAGAGTGAAACGGAAGCAGAATTGCTATGTGCAATTTCTAATGTATGCCCTTGGAGTTTCACTTTTCACCTTCCTGCCAGCTGGAATGAGACATGGTAATGATTAACATCCTAGACCATACAGGCAGAATTATAAACCAGAAAAGGTGTAACAACAAAGACACTTGGGTCCTGAGACTGCAAAACCATAACACCAGCCCTGCCTGCTTATGCCCAAATTATTGTGTGTGAAGCAACTAAGCTACCTTTCCTAAGTCACGGAAGCCCTAGGGGGACTCAGGATCCTGGTTTGCCTAGAACTGGGTGGGGAGGGGGGAAGTTTCCCAGGATGTGGGATTTTCAGTGCTAAAACTAGGAAAGTCTTGGGCACACGGGGACGAGCTGGTCACCCTATTGCTTTGACTTAACATACAAGTATCAATAAACAGCAGCTGTTTTTAATTGCTACATGCCTTCCCCCTGCATTACCAGCTTTCTAAACATTATCTCATTTCATATTGAGATCACATGAAGGCAAGAAAGTGGCTCCCACTTTACAGATAATAAGACTGAGAGTATAAAAACTTGACAAAGATCTAGTATCTAGTAAATTAATGTACTCATATCCCACCATGTGAAGAGAGAAAAAAAAGAAAGCTTAAAAAAAGTTGTTAACTGTGGACAAACTGGGAAAAACTAAGCTTTATATCTACTTGGTTGTTAAATAGCCCTCGTTTTAAACATGTATCTTTCATCTGTAGGCAATTCTTGGTAATCTTAAGTTATTTATGGTGGCTATTAGCAAGTAAACTACTAAAAGCAAAGAATCCCCTAAAATCACTAGAATGGGAACATACTGATTTGAGGTAGGAGAAGAAAGAATTCAGAAAATTGAGGCCACCTGTTGTTGGTTAAAACTTCCACCTGCCCAAAAAAAAAAAAAAAAAAAAGTCTGGCACCTTTAAGAGTACAATCTGAGTGAAAACCTTACACAGAGAGAACTCAGTTTGGCTGTCAGCAGTTAATAAATATAAGTAACTCTAGATTTTCAAAATCCTCCACATTACTAAATTAATGTTTTTCATTCCATCAGAAAAATTATATTTATTTGTATAGAAGCCCACGGCTTAACTGCAGAAATAAAACTGAAAAATGCTGAATGCAAAGGAAGAAGGAATTTGGTTCCATTTCACAAACTTAATGAAATAAATTAATCCAAAGTTCCCTGTCAGAAGCTTTTGGTCAAAATTTCTAACACAATCACTTTTGCTTTTAAAATATTGCTTTGCCTGATAACAAACTCATTTAAAAGAGCATAAAGAAAAATATTGTGTTACTATTCCATTCCTTAAACTAGTATGCCATCTTATGAAAAATAAGATTAATAGAAATCTCTACGAGTATTACAGAGGCAGACCTTTCTTTACACACATGAAATATGAAAGGAAGAGACCATTAGGAATACCACTCAAAAAATTCAGTTTTGCACCTGGAACATTCATGAGTGCCAAGAGAAATACAAAAGAACCTCTTCTTGAAGGAGAGGTTATAAAGACAGTTGTTGTTGCTGTTGTACCATTCCAAGCTAGTTGCACTTACCACTTCTTCAACACAAGTATCTGCAGTTATCTCTTTTCAGACATCTACAGTACAGGTGGTGAAGCTGTAATGAGAAACTCAACCCTATTCGCTTATCAGTGATAGCTGGCTTAGGCCCACCTGGGGAGTTTCTCTGAAAACATTAAGCAGGAAGGTAAGATAAAAACAAAAATATAGTGAGAAAATAAAAATAAGATAATACGAATATCAACAGACTGCACTCAGTACCTTGTACACAGTATGTATCCAATTAATGCCTGATGATGGTGATTAAATTTAACTATTTAAAACACAAAGATATAATCACCTAATGAAGTTGTTTTCAAATTCTGGCGTCCAGAAGAATCACCTCAAGTACTTACTAAAAATACAGGTTCCAAAGTCACCTCAGCAAATAAGCTGTTATGGAGTCTAGGGAGAAACCCAAGAATCTGCATATTTAGTAAGCAGCTGGGGATATTTATGCAATTCTCCCACCGAACTGACAGATAGGGATCTAGCACTCGTTACTTATGTGCATAAGAGAAATACAGGTAATACAATGAAGGTAATGTGGATCCAACTATCGAGACCTGAATTAAAGCTCAATTATCTTGGGAATTTAGAAAAATATAATGCACATAGCCCCAGATTCCCAGGAACTCAGAACAAACAATTCCAAACAACTTTCTGTTTAAATTTCTATATACAAAGTACCAGCAGTCTCTCAGAAGCACATGACTATTTTTAGTACTTAATAAGTAGTAAACACATATAGTAGTTCCTTTCATTTTCATGTTGTTTAATAGTCAACTTCCCCATTATTACTTAATTAATTAAATTCTAAACTAATTTGAAGTAGTATGTTAGAAAAGCATTATCAAGATCAATTTAGACAGATAATTAAAATAATTGTTAATGTATATATAAAATGTTGAGGTTTTTTGGACATGTATGGTACTTGGTAATCTAAGACTATCTTTTCAGTTAGCTCACAGTTCAAGTAGTTTAAATTACAAAGATATCATTTTAAGTGACACATAATGAAAAGAAAAATAAAATGATTGCAGCATGCATCTATGGATCCCCAAATCAGTACCCTTTGTAATTTAGTCCAAGTCATTTAATTTATGTCCCTAATTTTCTTCACCTGTCAGGTGGGGCTATGAAATTTGATAATTTAAAATATCCCTTACTATTCTAAAACTTACTGGGAAAAAAAGGGTTTAAGAATAGGTTTAATGAGATTGATATCTTTGGTTCATAAAAAGCAGTTAAGATCAAACCAATGAATTCTAAGAAACAAAATGAAAAGAAAAAGAATTTACCTTGATTTTAAATTTTAAGTTATAGAGGATCATTAATGTGAAGACACATTTTATAGGGACACTATTAAAATGTAAATTGTGGTTCAGTAGACGTAGGGTAGGGCCCCATCATACTTATTTATGAAACAAGCTCTCTAGTAATATGGGACTACTGGTGCTTGGAGTGCATTTTGAATAAGCAAGGACTTACAGCAAAACCAGGAGGCTGAATAAAGAGTAATAAAATGATCAATAACATGGTTAAGCAAATCAACAATACCAATAACGTACTGGAAAAGAAAATATTTTTAAATTAAACATAGATGAAAGGACAATTTGCTTAAAATAATAAAAGAACCTAATAGATCTAATGTGCAATTTTTTTAATGGACCTATACGTGGTAGATGGGCCAATCTTTGAACGTATGGCTATAGTCCAACTGCACATAATAATCACCTGGGAAGCTTTGGAAAAATAGAGATGCCTGAAAACCTGCCATCTACAATGTAGTTCAATCAAATCAGAATTTCTGGGGATGAGGCCTAGGACTAAGGGTTTTTGGCTTTTTTAAACCCTCCTCCCCTTTATTCCCTGTGATTAAAAATTAAGAAAATCTAGGCTACACTTGTACAATGTCATAGCAAAGTATACCAAAATAAACAACTAATTCAACCCTGTTTTTTTTTAATAAACTGAGAAATGTGTGGGTTTATCTGAACTAAGAATATTTGTTGATGCCTCAATAACCAATTAGTAAGTAAAATAAGATACGAGTTTAGGTTATAAAACTTACCTGGAAAGCATTTTAAAATCTAAACTAAATTTTTCTTTTGTCCTTAAGATGATCAGAATTTTTTCATTATGTGAGAAAAGTGAATTGATGAGATATCTGGTATCATAGATAAGTGGGTCTCAAACTTCAGCAGGCATCACAATCACCTGGAGGTCTTGTTCAAACACACATGTGGGGCCTGCCCTCATGGTTTCTGATTTTACAGATCTGGGATGAGCCCAAGAATTTCCATTCCTAACAAGTCACCAGGTAACACTGATGCTTCTGTTCCAGAAACCAAATTTAGACAATAAGGATAAAAGTTTGTAATTTTTAAAAAATGCAATTTTCCTTTTTAATAAAGAAAACAGTGGTATTAAAACTTTCGTCTTGATCACATACCTCATTTTAAAAATATATATGTATACATATTTATATATATGTAAATATGTGTCTTCCAAGTATCTATGATTATACAGGTAAGAATCTATGTCTTCCAAGTATCTACAATATATGTCTTCCAAGTATCTATGATTATACAGGTAAGAATGTAAAGTTTTGTGTCTTCTAACATCTGTGTGTGTGTATATATATATATATATATGGATATATACGGCTATCTTATATATAGATATCTAATATATAATATAGATATTATATATATCTAATATCTCTGTGTGTGTGTGTATATATATATATATATATATATATATATATATATATATATATGGATATATATGGCTATGTTATCCTACAGAAAAAGATGTGGGTTTCTATTTCTGAAATTCCCCAAGACTAGCCTGGTACAGTTATCTCCACGCATCTGCAGCATGTGATAAACATTCAGCAAACAATATGGAAATTAATTGTTTTGATTCTGATCCCATCTTTACACAAGTGAGAAAAGTTTCACAAATCATACAACTGAGATTAAGGCTTTACAGTCTAACGTGTATACGTTTTATTTTTAAAAAATACAAAAACAATGATTGACATTTTAAAATGTTTTGTTAGGACTCTTCATAATTCTCTTTTATTGGGATTTTAATTAGTAGAATACAGCAAGTGAATCTGGAGAATATCCAGATCAAACTTTCATCTTCTCCTGCAATGAAACATATTCACATGTAGGAGAAACAGCTTTTCAATACAACATTAGTAGAGATTCTTAAGGCTACAGTAATGTTGTAGAATCACAAAAGATCATGGGATTATTTCCCCCACTAATTAAGATATTCTTTCTTTACTATCACTAGTTTAAATGTATTTTTAACATTTATATTAAGAGTCACAAAATAAATTTTCATGTAATCTCTCAAACATATTTTCAGGACAAAACTGGCCAAATATAAACAAGCAAATCAGAACAAGAAACAAAACTCTAGGTATTTTCCTATTCAATTCCTTGAAGGTCTTCACAGGTGAACAAATAACAAACTTCCCTATTTTATAAAATTCTACCATCATCACTAGGACAAGGTTGTATTAGATAGGTTGAGTATTAGATAAAAAACAGAAGTTATCTTAATCCCCAGAAGTGGAAAAATTTTGATAGTTTCTGCAGAAAAACAGAATGAATTTCTTTGATGTTCCTTTACTAACAGGTAAGAATGTATAATTTTGTGTCTTCTAAGTATCTATGATTATAACCGATATTCACCACAATGAGGCAAGTCCAGAGAAAGTCTTTTGTATATCATTGCCATTGTCTTGTGAAAATAAGATAAATATATTTAAACATTGACACAATATATTTGTACCAAAATGATATCAAAATTTTAAAAACCATATATTTTCATTAAATAAATGAGTCACAATTTAAAAACTAAAGATAGGTGATTTCAAACCCCTCATTTGTAGAGAAAGGGGCAAAGTCTCTATGGGGTGGTTGTCTTTGCATTACACAGCTAGTTCAGTTATTCGCTGGCAGAGTCGGAACCAGCATTCAGGTTTCCTAGGTCCTAATCCAGCATCTTCTATTTGTACCATATAAACACCCTCCAAAGTTGTCACTGCCATATGTCAGATAATAGTTTGACTTTTTATTGAATTCTGTGATACATGAATCAAAATAGCAGTCTTTGTAAAGCCTTGGTCATGACTTTATTAAACTTTTATACTGTAAAGCCTTAGATACTTAGACCATGAAAAAATTACAATATATTTTGGCTCTAAGACAGAAGATTTCTAGCATATATTAGGTTACTTATTAAATGAATGACTGAATTAATTCTAAATGTTACAAAATACTCACTGTACAGGCCACCAGGAAATCAACATGTCTGGTTCAAAATGTCTCCCCTTCAGTCTCCCTTTGGATGGAGTAGTAGGGGTAGAATAAGGACAGGACTGCATTTAAGTAGTATCAAAATAAGCTACATCATTTTTGCTGGCAAAAATAATGGTCAGAAAGTATAAAGCATTTAAAGCCCATATAGAGGCTGGACAAACAACCAAATCCTACTGATGGGCAGATGCCTATCCCATCTCCACTCTATCCAATCCCTCCCCCACACAAATTTGTAAAGCCAATCACTAGGATCCCTCCTCTGAATTCCCTACAAGAGGCAGAAAAATTATCTCCAGAAAAGTGAAAGGGAGAGAAAAAAAGCAAGCAGAAAGCAGGACAGCCAGAGGACCTTGTTTCTGTATATTGCACATAGTTTAGAAGTTTGAAGAAAAAGTATATTCCAAAGCATATATTCAGATAAAGTCTAACTGATTAAAAGAATATAATGACCTCTCAAATGCCTTCAAGAATTATTTAAAACTGGCAAATTAAACAGACAAGCATTACTTCTGATTAATAATCTTACCTAGCTTATCTCTCTTTTCTTTTTACTTTAGCTGAGGAATTTTCTTAAAATATATTCTTTTTTTAAGAGACAAGGTCTCACTATGTTGCCCAGGCTGGAGTGCAATGGCTATTCATAGGCACGATCTCCACAGCACACTACAGCCTGAGCCTCAACTCCTGACCTCAAGCAATCCTCCCATCTCAGCCACCAGAGTAGCTGGACCTCAGACCTGCACCACTTCACCTGGCTTAAAATATATTCCTATTCCTATTGCTCTGCTCAGAGGGAGATGGAAAGGGAGATATTCTGACCAGAAGAATTCAGCAATTATCAAAGGAGGAAATAGGCACAAAGAATGGAAAAAAGAATTATTCCTGGGCTGGTGCTTTGATTTAATTGTTATAAAAGGTCTATGGGGAAGTGGGGAGTTGGACAATTAGAATGCTTCCTAAGTTATCTTCCTCATGCATATAATCATTATTTTCTCCAACTATGGTTTCATGACATTAGGCATACTTACATTGAAATGTAAATACAAAATAAAAACTAAATACAGTTAATTATCACCGTGATTATTTTCTTTTATTAGCATTACCTAGAATTAGTTGTGAATGCACATCCACCTATAGAAGCCCCAGGTAAATTTAAAAAAGAAAACCCACTAAACCATTATAATTTTATAGTAGAGTTCCATGTAACTATTATATAATCTTTCTATATATCAAACTTTTTTTTCCATTGTGACTAAATAATGTAGCAATCCCTATAAGATATGTTGTTCCTATATAGAACACCTTGTTAAAAAAAAATAGGGGAATGTTTCAAGTTTGAATGATGCAGTTCTGGAAAAAACAACAGGAAAAAATCAAAATACGTATAGAAAATTAGGAAACTTACCCTTATTGCCTCATGACAAACTAAAGATACCATTCAATCATGTTTGAATATCTTCTCTCTGATCAATAGTGTTTGTCCAAGGTGTATGAGGAGACAAGAGACTCCACCCTCTAAGAGTTCATACTCTCCTTAGAGGGAGAATGAAACCTAATTGCTAACATCAATATATGTACAAATCAAAGTCACAGAAAAGTGACAGAGACTGGGAAGCCACAGTCTGAGGTGGGACTTGAGTGTCAAAACCTTGGGTGAGAATTTGGAAGTGCAGAAGAAAAAAAAGGCAGGACATCTCAAGCGGGGGGATATCCTGAAATGAATGCCCCAGTGGGTAAACAGGATAGAATCCTATTGAGCAATATGAGAAAATAAATAAGTCTGATCAGAAAGCAGCTAGACAATAGACAGCCTCGAAAGCCATGCTAAAAATTTTGGATCCCCATGTGAAAATAAACGCATAGTCAAATCACACTCAAAGAAGGCAAGTGGGTCAGTAAGGACAAGTGACTGATGGTTGTGGGCAGTAGGAGGTGATGGAAGGCCCAGGTAATGGTGAAAATGAGTCATTTAGTACCACTGGTGAAGAAGTGATGTGGGACTACACCAAGACATCAGGAGGTGAATGGAAAGACTCAGGCAAGGGAAGAAGGTCTTCATGAAGGACATAGTGATCAATTAGGAATAGATTAGATATAAAGGGTAAAAAAGTGAATTCCACAACACCAAAATCTGTCTTCGAAGACTGAGGCAAATGGGGATGTCAGATCTGAGTTAGGAAGTTGAGCTGGGAACTCTAAGCTCTTGAGAGTATAGAAGAAATCACAATTAGAAATACAGCTTTTTGAATCATCTATATATAAATAAAAATCCAGTCTATGGGCATGAATAACTACACCAAAGGAGTGAGAATAGAGAAGAGGAGAGGTGCTGGGACAAAAGATGTTAATAAAAATGCCAGGAAGGAAGAAGAGGCACAACCAAAGATCAGATGGGGAGTTACCATTACAGATGAGAAAGGAGAAGGAACTCTCAAGGAGCAGGGAAGAAGCATGGAGCAAAGGAGGAGATTACTGAGGACTACAGAAAGACTACTTAAAGGTAATTTCAGTGGGATCAAGGTTCAGCATTCCCAGAACATGAGGCAGGTGGTGAGCTATAGTTCCAAAACTTGTTCTAGGCAAGAAGCTTTAGTTTTAACATCAAATTCCCCAGACTGGATTGTCATTTTGACTTCCAAAGGTTACTTGGGACTCTACCAAGTTATGAGCTGTAAAATGCTACTACCTATAGGGCTATGCTTCAGGGGCAGAATGAGAACTAAACAGTAGAAATATATGTGTAATAGATTTGCAAACTACAATAAAGCTGTATGACTCTAACACTTTACTAGGGGAAACCAAGTATTATCTCTAATATAAGATTAGTATCAGAGATGGTTAACTATAACATTTTCCCACCAATATTCCTAGTAAACTTCAGCCCTGCCCTGGCAAGACGCTCCCTATTTTGGACATTGAGGATCACAGGCATGTGGGGGTTTTTTGTTTGTTTTAATTAAATTCATTCTCAGATCAATACCATGGTTTCCTGCTATAACACACCCAGTTTACATAAAGCCCAGATATGACACTGAAACACTATTCTTTCCTTCTTGAGCTTATTTTGCCTCCATTGTTTTTCCCTTCCTTCTCCCCATCTTGTCCTTATCCCCTGCTTCTAAACTACTTCCCCTTCCAGTTTCTCTCTTACTTTATCTCCATTAAGATACATTCTCACAAATGTCTACAAAGTATTTTCAAAACCAACAGTCAGTGATTAGCATGAATATTACTTAAAACAGTTTTACTCTTGGCCTTTATCCATACATTTCACCGTTCTTCCCTCCTTTTGAATAGACAGGCAAACCTGTTTGACTAGTTTTCCCCTAAGAGCTACTCCCCAGATTGGCTTGGTGAGAACAACTCAATAGGGACAGCAGCACAAATGCAAAATCTATGTAAAACACAAAGGCCTTCTTCATAAAGAGAACCCAGAGGAAGGGCCTGCTGTGGAGCCCCTAGACTAACTGCCTAGTCTTAGGCCTAAGACTAACTGCCTAGTCTTAGAACAGCTCTCTCAAAGCAGGAAGACACCACCACTGAATCACTCATTCCGTTGCTAGTAAAAAATTTTTATTTAAGTAAAATTGAATTCTTCCTGTTGATGCCTCTCCTCTGAATAATGAATATTATGAGGATGAGGGAGAATCAGATTAAGACTTAAGTGTAGAAGTTTAAAAAATTCCAACAGATGAGACTATATTCAAGATGTGTTACAGAAGTGTGTCCAAGTTTTTTGTTGTTGTTGTTGTTGTGTGTGTATCTGCTTAATTAAACCCATTAAAAATTCTGAATTTGCAAAACAGGTATTAATAAAATCAGAATAGGATTTTTTCTATGGTAAATTGTATGTTGATATTGCTTTAAATTTCAAAGTCCCTGAGTATATTTAATATATAATGTGCTTTAATGTCACTAACCACAATTTTTTTCTGTAAACTATTTCTAACATACAGAAAAATATAAAGATTAACATAACAAACATCTGTATGCCCATCACTTAATATTTAAGAAGTGTTAAATGTTTGCCCTATTTTCTTATTCTATAAATATGACTCAACTTATAAAAGCTGAGTTTATATACAGCTTTTCAAGAACCTATTACAGAACATATAGCATATTTGCACACTTGATTCTACTTTGTAAATTCATGTGCACATTATTTAAACTTGATGTTTCACTTGGAAGAAAATTAGCCCCACAGTTTTTACTCATTAAAGCAAGTTATAGCTTAATGTAATAACTAAAAAGTCATGATTTGGTGTCTTGAAATATTTTGAGTATTAAATTTCTTCAAAACAATTAAAAAGTACAAAATGATTTCACAAATATTTTGTTATATAATATTCCCAAATCAAGCACATATTTACCAAATCAGATACGAATGTAAATTTCTTTAATGAACTGGATTCCTTGCAGATGCATTTCTGTTATTTATATCAAGTCAATGGAAATAAATTATATCTTCAAAATAAAATCAATATAGTGATTATTCCAAATTAACAATTCAGATAAATAGTACAATGCTACAAGGAAACAGTATCTCTGAAATGTTCCTACTATACATCTTTCCATCTAATCTAAATGTTTTAATATTTACATAAATGTCCATCCAGAGAATACGAACTGACCTACACTGTCCTAGATGCCCTGCCATTCATAAACCAAAGGTACCATTTTTATTTTGGCTATGCACTCCTAAACACTTACCTAAGTGTGGCATTCTGTATAAGTCAATTTCAACTTGGCATCTGTTATCTCTGTAAGGGAGTGCTGAGCATGACAATATATAGTCTAAAACTGACTTGGTGAATATACAACATGGAACTAGAAGAAATCCTAAACTGAAAATCACCTGCTTAGATTACTATGCTTTACAAATAACAGGGCCATAAATCGTGAAGGACTAAGCACAGTGGGAAAAAAAAAAGCACTGAAACACAACTGCAAAATAGAGAAGTGCTGAAAACGAAAAGTATGGCTAGCGATTTTCAGGTAAAGAATATGATTAAATATTAAAACTACAGATATAAAATTCATTTCATCTTAAAAATATGGAATATCTAATTTTGTTTTATTCAACAAACATGTATTGGGACAACAAATATTTATTATATGCCTTATAACCAATTAGTAAACAATATGTACTATGTGCAATTGTTGGTTGACTTCCAAACCACTGCATAGATGTAAACATTTTCTCAAATTATGCAGTAATTACAGAGTAAAAAACTTATACACATATTAAAATAGAAATCTAATTTAAAATGTTTATTAATCTCTAATATAAAGCATCACTTCATCCAAACAGAAAATCCTAGGAAAAAAGTAGGTATATTTAAATATTACCATAGTAGTCTTAATTGGGGGAAAAAAAAAAAAAAAGCAAACAAACCTCTACAAATCAGTCCTTCCCCTATTACACAGGCTAATAATTATTTTTCACATGTTGATTTTTAAGACCCTATGAGGTATAGAGGTGCCTTTGGAATCATCAAATATTAAATTACATTTTGTTAAATTTTGAAATCATCTGTATTGTTTTCTGAGTTTATTTTCAGCTAATACTAAAATGTATAATCAATGTCCTTATAGATTATCTAAGGAACTAGAACACACTTAAAATACTAAGAGTACTTTAAACAAGACATTAGAAACCTGGAGGTTTAATTACCAGGTGCTTTTTAAACACAATGCATATGCCACCAGACCCTCCTGACTGGCGGAAGCATGGATTGTCCTGAGAAACCCAACATCTCTGCAACGCTCTTGAGGCAACTTCCACTCTCTCTTCAAGGACTTTTGTTCAGTTGGCTCCCTCTGCTCCCTTCAAAACTTTCAATGGCTGCTATTCTACTGGCCTCTAACCAAAAAAGTTAAAAGTATGATCAAATTTTCATCTTAAAAATATATTTTCAATCACTCTCTGTGAATTCTGAGAGCGAGTACTTGTGAAAGCAAAAATGACTACGGACCTTCTAATCACAAATCCAAGTCCTGGTTTCCATAAAACAGGTAGCATTTGTTAAACACAAAGGAGTAACCTCCCAGGCATTGTGCTTGATAGATTTTATCTCATCTGATCCTCACAGTAGCCCTATAAAGTAGGTGCTTCTCCCCTCATTTGCTAAATGAGGAAATGAAACTAAATTGTGAGCTCAAGGTCACAGAGCTATTCGGGGCTCGAGAGGGGGTGGGAACCGAGACTGTCTAACACCCCCTCATTTCAGTACCTGACCTTCTCACTTTCTGAAATTTTCTCAGTTTTCAGCTGCTTTTAAAAGTTACACCCTCCTAACTCTCCTCTTGCCTCTCTTGTTCTGTACCTTCTCGTTTTTCTTTATTGCTTCCTATTTCTCTACCCAACTCTTAAATTTTAGGATCTCCCCAGGCCTCTGTTTCCCTATTAACTTTTGGTACTTGCCCTGGAAAACCTATCAACTTTCACGGTTTATAATTACCTATACACTGAAAACTCCTAAATGTTTCTGTGTGTCTATCCATTTATCTACCTACCATTTATCTACCTGCCTATCTAGCCCAGGACCTCTGTGCTCAGAACTCACATACAATGATTCACTGGACACACATCTCCAGTTCGATTTTCTATAAGCACTTCAAGTTCTACATGTCTAAAACTGAACTCTATCACTCTTGCTCTCAAATCTGGATCTCCTTTTAAGTTCCCATCCCATCCTCCTATACCACCCACTCCCAATCCTCCAACCAAATTGGTCACCTAATCTTAGAGGTTCTACCACCTGAATATCGTTGTAACCAAACCCCTTTTTTTCATCCCACTGCCAACACTTTGGTACAAGGACCTCAACCTCTCTTACCAAAGCCACCCCAATATCTTCTAAACTACCATCCAAATCTCACATTCCTCAGATCCATCCTTCTAGATTGCTTGCTGTAAGAGCTGTTTTCTCATCACATAGCTCCTCTGTTTAAAACAACCTTAAACTGAAAATAGTCCATACTCCTGAGAATGGCAAACAGCCCTCCATGATCTTGCTCCTGCCTCCAGTGATTCATCTTTTATGTCACCCTCTAAGAAACCCTCAAATCTCCTGTCCCCACACAGAATTGACCACTTCCAAATTTCTGCTCAGGGTACTGTGTGTGTATCTCTATCACGGCACTTACAGAACAGCCAGCACTATACTGTAGATATTGAAAATAGCCTGTTTCCTCCTTGTCTCCCCCTTTTAAACCTAGAGCCCTCCCAGGGCCTTAATTGTATGCACATCCCCAGAGCACAGTGCTTGGCACACAGTATGCTTTTAACAAATATTTGTTGAATAAAAGAATGAATGTTTGTGAAATGCTTCAGATTAAGGAGATATGATTACCACTGTTTTCAAGATCAAATTAAACCATTTTAATCATATGTATTTGATTATGTACCTCCTCCATAAGTAGATTTGCAAAATAATATTTAAATAATTCATGTAGCCTCAAGTATGGTTAGCAGGATTCTCAAATCATACTTCTTATTCTGGACTTCCGGGGTAGAAAAATATTAACTACACTACATTATAGTTAGTAAGTTTCAATGGCAGAAAGTAATATGTAAAATATTCTAGTATACATATTCCTAAACAAAGACGATCTGGGCCTATCATAAGAAAGTAAACTTTTTTTTAAAGGCTGCTTCAGTTTCTCAGAAACACCAAGATATTCCAGAAGACTGAATTGTCTGAAATTAATACACCCTCCTAAAGATCTCATACACAAATTTTTTCTATAAAAGGTACATTAAAACCTTTTATATAGAGGTCACCCTTCTGGAAACCTAAACATTTCAGTTCACAGTCCAAACCACAAATAAAGCACGTAAACTGAAAGTGTCTGTCACAAAGTCTACAGGATTTACACTCGGGCAATAGCCCACATCATTTGATGGAAAAAAAGACAACAGATAATAGAGCAGCAGGGCCCACTCACAGTCTGACAGCAGCAGAAAGTGATAGCCAATAACAGAAAGAGGACCCAGAAAAAAAAAAAAAACATAAAAAGAAGAATGGTACTTCTGTCTCTATTCTAGTATTTCAACCCAGCAGGCTGAGACCATTTACTATAAACAAAAACAGCTCTATACACCTCAGCGAATAGCACTATTCAATTCTTTATGAATTCATAAAGACAACCCAACAAGAAAGAATAACTTATATCCAATATTCTCCAAGGGAACAAGGAAGACAGTAAGATTTAGAAATTGCTTGTGGGTTATAATGGCTCTTTTTTTTTAAGTTTCAGTAATAAACGGTGTGAAGAGTCAGCTACCGAGAAAATGTGCTTATGTAAATAAGTACCAATGCAGATGAGGTCAAATAAATGAGATACTATATCTTGCATAAATAATCAAAGTTCTCACTCTCCAAGGATATCTTAGAAATTCCCAGGTGTATGTTGGAAAATCCTAGTATGAATTAAAAAGCAACAAATTGATATTATTTGATAAACAGGTGCATGATTTTAAAAAGGATTTGAGGATTGAAGATGGGATTTTTAGCAATATTTAAATGGTAATGAAGCTGATAGTTGTTCATAAGGTGCAATAAAATGTTTTAATTTAAATTATTGGGAAATGTAAACTGTCAAAATCTTTAAACGAAAAGTAGTTTTTATCCAAAAAAATTGTCATAAGCATCTTTATTTACTGCATTGGTTTATTTATTCTAAGACGCGTACCAAGCTTAAATACAACAAGCATAGTCCTCTGGAAATCTTAGATTTAAAAAGAGTTTGAACCTGTATAGTAGTATTACCTGGAAAAAGTCAGAAGTATAGTTTCTGTTCAGTTATGCCCAACCTCCTAATAGAGTATCAAGCCTTTACTAAATATCGGGGCACTATGCTTTATTGTAGTTTTTAAAGACTTGTATAATACTAAGTCACACAACACTAGATGTCAACTTAACCTTGTAGGTGGCAGGCAAATCATACAATACTAGAGTGTTTTTCTCTGGCATTATCTAGAAGAGTTGCTGAACACAGACACATTCCTAAAGCAAAACCTCAAACCACCAAGAGACAGTTTCTATAGGAGAAAACTAAGCTGGCTAAGATTTAATTCAAGTAACACAAAGTTCTGGTCTCCTTTACCATATAATATTAAGATGCATGACTCTAATTTTAAAATCTCCTGGGGACAAAGTATGGTTACTCTTAACACTATTAAAATATTGGTTAAAGATAACCATTGGGTACTGGGCTTAATAACTGAGTGATGAAATAATATGTAAAACAAACCCCTGTGACATGTGTTTACCTATGTAACAACCCTTCACATGTACCCCAAAACCTAAAATAAAAGTTTTTAAAAAAGAAAAGAAAAAAGGGCACTTTCTATCCTTCCTTCAAATGGTGGTGATTTTTTTCTGGGGATATGTCAGAAGCACGCCAATTTTGAGTGAATATAGACGTTTTTGAACATGAAATTATCAGAAATGATAACAATTTGGCATCTAGCCAAACTCCCTAACATTCACGTCATTGATACTGAAAAACTGGTAGTACAAGGTGACAGCCTGAGGGGACTGAAGATTTTTGGAGTATTTGGAGTAGTGTGGTTTTTTTCTAATTTTTACCAATAGGATCCCCAGAAATAAAAGACTCTATCGTCACTGCTAACACTGGCTCATAATAAAGGTGATTCTCCAGAGCACGCCTGGTTTGATACCGCCACCCACTCCTTCCCTTGGCGACATTTTCCTGCTAAGAACGCCTAGTTAGCGCAATCCAGCCATTCGCGTTAGTTCTCAGAACTCTCTCAGAAGTTCTCTACCTTCTCTCCTCTCCCCGCCTAGATGCTGAAAGGTGATGGGAACTCGCGGTACAGGTACAGAGGCTATTCCTTTCCTAAGGAAGTGCTGCACAATGGCAGGTTTACCGTACTCAATTTTATAAACCCTCAATTAAACCAGAAAGCTTGTATATAGAGATTGGGTACCCCGCCCACCTCCTCAGATTGTCCTTTTGCCCCGACGCACTGCATCTACTTGCACTCTCCGATGCGGTTTGCCTCCTTCAAATCCAAAACACACATACCAGGCTCCCTCGCCGCTCCTCCAGTCCATGGAAGGCGCCCTTCTTTTTGCCAGCAGCGCGTCCTTCTCTCCCCGCCCGCAGGCGCTCACCTCTTCTCTAATCCCGGGGGCCCGCACAGGCTTCTCTAATGCAAGGGCACCCCGTACCATTCCCAAATCGGCGCGGGGACCCGTGAAACCCTGCCACCACTGTACACTGTCCATTGTCGAGAGTCGCGCGGGCACGCGGAAACGGCGGGCCCCGAAAAGTCTCAGCGAGCTTGTACAGCCCCAAGACATTCCCCACCCCCAACACATCCCGCTCTTGTTCCTCCTTAGGGGGAAGACGGAGTAAAGGGGAGTTGAAGAGGTCCCGAAGCTCCTCCTGGTCCCCCACCTCCATCCCTGCCCTGGCAGCTGGCTCTGGCCTCTGGGCTCCGCGGTGCCCATCCCTTCAGGGGTCAAGTACAAGGTCCTCGGCCGAATCGCCTCCCCGTTATACCCTCCCTCTGCCTTGAGCGCACAAACGCGAGAGAACCCTCGAACGGATGCCATATGGCAGAAACAGGATCGCGGGCGCTATGAGGGGCCAGCCTAAAAAGATCTCCTTCACACCCCCTCAACCCCTAGCCTTTCTCCCTACCCCGCCAACCCCCACTAACCACTTCTAACTTCCTCAGCCCAACCCTGTCTGTGCTTTCTAATTCCCACCCCCCCGCCCCTGGACAGCAGCCATTCGCCCGGCACTCACCTCAGGGAGCAAACAACGCCCCTCTCCTCCACCCAGACCGCCCCCCCTTCCGCCCTCTGGAACGGCGTGGTCCCTCCGCTCACCTCGTCTCTTGGCTGCCCCGCGCGAGTTTGAGTGTGTGTCTGCCGCGTAATTGTATCCGGGACAGAAGGGACCTGTGTTTGTGCGCTGAATCAGGTGTCGCCGCCTTCGGTGGTTCGGGGGCGTAAGGGAGGCTTCGGAGTTAGCGTGTTGGCTAAGGAGGGCTCTCTGGGTTCACAGTTGATAGCAATGCTTTAACCGTGTCCTCCCTCGGGTCCTCAGCGCGCCTGCTCGTCCGCAGCTCCCAGCGGGCGGCCAGGCCCCCCGCCCCCCAGCCGCGCCCCGCCCTGCGTGCGGCGAGCAGAGTCGGAGCGCGCCGCTGCCCTTCCGCACTTGGCTCAGCGGGGCACGACACGGGCCGCCACGCGCTCAGCCTAGCATCACTCGCCTCTGACTGCGAGCGCCTCCAGCTCCCCGGGCTGGGGCATGGATGCAGACGCGCCTTCGTACCACGCGCTCGCAGGCTGGGCAAGGGGCAGCGCGTTGGGATCCGGCCAGTCGTCCGCTGAGCGAGGTTGGCTTGCAGGCTGGGACTTTTCGCGAGCCCTCTGGGCGCTCGAGTTGCGAACTCTGACAACGGCACGTGGCCCCGCCCACTCTTCCCTCTTTGCGAGGCGTGTCCCGCGCCCTTTCTGCCACCACCCACGTAGTCCCTGTGCCCGCCTTTTATCATCAAGGCGGCTCAGTGAGCTCTGCGTGTTGATGTCGCGCCTTTTCTCATCTTCCTGCCTTTCCTGCCTCACTTCTGCTGAATCCATTCAAAAGTTATACTTGGGCAAGTGGGTGGAGGAGTTAGGAAAATTAAAAGAGGGATGCTTAGGTGAGCAGGTACCTGCACTGCCGCCAACCCAGGCTTCAATTCTGGCTCTCTTGTAGCGGAAAGCCTTAAAAAACGCGAGTTTGGGGATCCTGAAAAAAAGTAAATAGGGTTGCTGGGCTGAATAACATCCCTCCTCTCAGGCTCCTGCTGAAAGGGCCATTCATGATTTGCCTGGTTGAGCCTGTGGCGACTTTATTCTGACGAATCTGCCTTTGCCAGCAGCATAACCTTGCCAAGTTGGCGTCTTGACCAGCAAGCAACTGTGCCCAAGGAAGCCTCTCTGTGGTGCCTCAGACCTGAGAGGCCGAGTGCCTTTGAGCGCCTGAGGTAGATTGTGAGTTTCATGAAAACCGAGAAAGTCTAAGTGTGCATGTGCGTAAGATATTTTATATATATATATCTCATATATATATGAGATATGTCTATATAACGTGGACTGAATTGTTTATTGTTTATGTTTCGTGTCGAGCATAAATTCCAGAAGCTAAGATGCTTCCATAGCACACAAACGTTATGCGTTTAAACGTTGGAAATCAAAAATGCCATGTCAGGTCATTCTGTCCTTGTTCCAAAGTGAGATTCAGAAATAGGTTGGGATTTTCTGCCCTTAGATAAGAAAACGGAAATTATATTTTACTGTATATGTTATCAGTTAATGATAAATTAAAAAACTAATATACACTGCTGTTATTGTAAAATCCATATGCTCAAGAATGTTCATGGATGGAGAGATCTTCAAATGCCATTTCAAAAAAGAAAATGCACTTTTCTTCTTTGCAGATTAGGAATTTGAACATATTCCCTGTGCAAAATGCAGGGAATATTTTCACAGCCTTTGTACCTGATTACCATACTCTCTATTTATTTCTTATTTAAATTGCACTAGAAAACCTAAAGTAAATGAAATGTAACATAATAAAGAAAAGAGAATTTAGACATTTACTTTAAAAGCTTTATTTCTCAAAGGTCAAGCTTCAGTTTCAAGCTACTGTTTGATGATGCATATGTAAATTCTTGGTAAAAACTTGATCATTAGCAATTAAAACAACTTTTTTCTTTTATTATATAAAAATGTTTAAAATTGTTTCACCACATCCTTGTCCTTAAAATGGTGTAAACTGACCATTGTGTAAGGTTTTTGTCAGATTTTTGGATAGAAAAGGAGTATATATTATGTGTAGATATGTCCATGTTTATTGTTTCTCTAATCTATCTATTTTTGTCCACATTAAATACTGATTATTGAATTTCTCACAGCTCTACACAGTAAGGGTGTTCCATAATGTAAAACAAGTTTATTCAATCATCATATGAATAGTTGAAATACACTTTTGGAGTTTGAAATGATAAAAGCAAGAAATCAGTGAGGTTCATTTCACCGCCCCACCCCACTTTTCCTTTTTTTAATGCTCCCACCTTTAATTGTTAACATTATTGGCTAAGTGGTTGAATAAATGAATAATGAAAACATTTGCTACTTCTCTTTAAGGAAGGATGCATATTTTCCATATTTAATGTATCCTTCAAGCTCCCATTCAGATTAAACAAGATTCTCCCTATCATCTTTAGTTTATAGAATGTTGAATGGGACAGCATAGCCTGCAGTGAGAAAGTTTCAGCCAATGTGGAGTATGGTATTAAAATTCCCTCATTATTTCTGTGGACTATATATATCAGTATTCTCAATTGTTATTTTTTTCAGAAATACTTGTTATAATTATTCACCCCATATAACTTTATTGGAAAATATAAACAACCATATGTGAGATATTATATAAGTTTTGTAATCATTCACCATTAACTCTGGGATCAGACTTCCTAGAATTTGAAGAAGAAATTAATGAAATCAAACGTAACTTAATAGTAGTAGTAATAGAAATTTTAAAATCCTCTTAAAGTTTCTGCAAAGTGTGATCCCTGCCCCCTTACACTCAAGTTAAAGGAGAATGTTAACAGCCTGTCCTGTCTCTGTGGACAGTGGACCTTATCTATACTCCCCAACTCCAAATTACTCAAGTTTATTACAGGCCAGCAAGCTCCTGCACAGCTGCAGTCACAAGACCAATAAGTTTAGGTTGCAAGACATGTTTTTCTCAAGATGTAAGAAATGTTGTAATGCTTGATTAACTGCCTTTGTTTCTCGCTTCTGTAACTTGCTTCCCACCTCATGTAGTTCCTGCCTTAAAATGTTTAAAAGTAGGAAAAGCCCTTAGTTTGGGGCTCATACTTTCTGGACATATGTCCGGCTGGGCCGGTGATCACCTTAATAGACTCTCCTGAACCTTTTTCAGTCTCTCCAGTCTTTGATTGTCTTGTAACATTTCTGGGGGCTCATCCGGGATTGGAGAGGGAACATTTTCTGTCTCCTTTGCCTGTGGGCTACAGCCCCAGGACATGGGAGATCTGGGGTCCTTGGCACCACCAGGAGAGTTTCAGCCCAGAAGGAGAACTGCCCTCCCGCGTTCTGGGGCCTTCCCCCGACAGCACAAATGGAACCAGTGGAAGGGGTTGCAGGATGGTCACGGGAGCAGCGCACAGCCATCTGAACCACGGTAAAGTTTGGGCCCTAAGGCAAGACCCGTCCCATAAGGACGGAAGGGGAGCCTGATCATCTCCCAGGGCATGATGACTGATCTGACCCGAGGGGGTTGGGACAATGGGAGAGGCCCATTGATTCAGACAAAACTCACGCCCTAACCGACACCAGATGCAGGTGGGGCTCGCACGTCAGTCAGAAAGGAAAACAGTTTCAGGGACGGGGGAGGTGTGTGAGACAGTCTCAGGAGAGACCAATGCGGGGTGTGACATGGGGAGGCACAGATCTCTTAGCATGCACTGTGTGCTCTGAGGCGAGTGTGGGAAAAACCAGACCTAGAACACTGCATACAGCCCATAGGACCAGCTGTATGGCTGCAGCTAGCTGTAACAGGAATTAAGGTACTCTCCTGGCTAAGCAGCATCCACCATGGCTGCAGCTAGCTGTAACAGGAATGAAGGCACTCTCCTGGCTAAGCAGCATCCGAACCTCCCATAATAGGACCTGGTCTGGTGGATCCAAGAGTGAAAGTGACAGTGAAAGCATGCCGTGAGGGAAGAAATGGGAGGAAAAGCATCAAAGCCTACTCCACTGGAGTGCATGCTGAAAAACTTTTACAAAAGGTTTAAATGGTGATTAAATGGTTAAGCTAACTCCACAGAAACTGAGAACCTTTTGTGAGATAAACCGGCTGTCTTTTAATGTAGGGTGGCTGGCCGAGGGGACAATACACAAGGAGATAATTGGCCAAGTGTTTCAGGTGGTCACTGGGCTTGGAGAATAGCCCAGGCACCCAGATCAGTTCCCGTATACAGACTCCCAGCTAAGTGTAATTCAGACCCGCCCTAAGTGGCTGCAGACCTGCTTTGAGACCTACCATAAGACTTTAATGGCTTGGACAAAACCAGGAACAATAGAAAGAGACTGCAAGTCATCAGAAAAAGAAAAAGAGTCACAGGAAAAGCAGAAAAAACCTGTCCTACAGGCCCCATCTGAAGAGTTAGAAACTCTACCCCCTATGCACCAATTTATCCATCCTTGGCAAGGCTTAGACAGGAGGCTGCCCTGGCTGCCTCTGGAGGCTCAGACTCAGAAGAAAGCATCCCTCAGGCAACACCACGCAGACAGAAGTCAGAGCCCTTACCTGAAAACCCAAGGGAGGAATTCCAGGGGGATGAGGTTGGCTATCTTAGGTCAGGTCATGCCCAAGCAATGCAGATGTCCCTCCGATAAACATGGGGACAAATTTATTTGAATGCACAGAATGAAGTCCAAGGGGGAGAATGGCTCTTCATTTATCAGCCCTTCTCTACTACTGATCTCTGAAATAGGAGACAACATACTCCCTCCTATACAGAAAAGCCTCAGGCTCTTATAGATTTAATGCAGCCCATTTTCCTAATGCACAATCCTACCTGGGTTGATTGCAAACAACTTCTTCTGTCATTATTTGATATGGAAGAGCACCAAAGAGTTATACAAGCTGCTCTCCAGTGGCTCGAGAACAATGAGCCTGCAGGCACAGGAGATATCAGGCAGTATGCACAACAAGCACTTCTGATAGAGGCTGTCCCAGGCTGGGACCCTAACCAGGCTCAAGGGCCACAAAGTTTGCAGTGGTATTGAGAGGCACTCCTAAATGGAATAAAGGCTGGAGGGAAAAAGGCCACCAATATCAGAAAGGTCTCAGAGGTCCACCAGAAGCCAGATGAAAGTCCCGGTGAATTTTACGAGAGGCTCTGCGAGGCTTATCGGCTTCATATGCCATTTGACCCTGAGGCTGCTGAAAAACAGTACATGGTAAATATGGCATTTGTAAGGCAGGCCCAGGGAAATATCAGGCATAAATTCCAGAAGTTAGAAGCTCCACAGGCGTGAGTGATACTCAGCTTACTAAAGTGGCTACAAAGGTGTACATTAACCGAGATCAGGAGGCAAAGAAGGAAGCTAATTGGAAGCTTAAGGAAAGGCAGATTTACTAGCAGCAGCCCTCACGGGAAGGGAAGCTGACTTTGCAAGGAGGCGTGGGTGCAGTCATGAAAGAGGCCAGTCTGGACAGGGATTTAAGAGCTGGCCAAGGCTAGAAAAAGATTAATGTGAATGGTGCAAAAGGAAAGGACACTGAAAGGATGAATGTCAAGAGAATAAGGAAAATGGTCAGGACCATGGTATAAGAAAGCCACTGGCCAAGGGCTACTGCACCCGGGAAAAACCCAAAACCTTCTGCACCTGCTGTGGAAGGCAGGATATAAAGTGTCAGGTAAAAAAGGCTCAAATCTGCTTTAAAAGTGTCCAGTATTTAGGCTTCTGTATAAGCCAAGGGAAAAGATGGCTCGGTGGTGAATGAAAGTAGGCTGTTTGTGCGTTTCCTACTCCAACCACCCGGTGCCAGATAAGAAAGTTCCTAGAGGCAGCAGGGTTCTTCGCATTTGGACCCTAAATTTCTTGCTCATGGCTAAGCCATTATATGAAGCCACAAAAAGGGGGAAAAGGAACCCCTCCTATGGGGAAAACAGCAGGACATGGCCTTCAAAGAAATCAAGAAGGCTTTGATCCAGGCCCCAGCATTAGGACTGCCAGACATGAAAAAGCCTTTTTACCTATATGTTCATGAAAGTTAAGGAATAGCTACAGGAGTCTTGGTACAAATACTAGGGTCATGGTATTGGCCCATGGCATATTAGTCCAAAGGGCTAGACTTGGTGGCTATGGGATGGCCACTGTGTTTCAAGGCATTGGCAGCCACTGTCCTGTTAGCAGAAGATGCTAACAAGCTCAAATTGGGACAAAGGTTGATAATTCGGGTTCCCCACACGGTCATCACCCTGATGGAGCAGAGTGGGCATCGCTGGCTTTCTAACCCTAGGATGTTAAGATATCAAGGGCTTTTGTGTGAAAACCCCTACATAACCTTGGAGATTGTGAATACTCTAAATCCAGCCACACTGCTGCCAATAGAATGGGTAGAGCATGGAAAGCCCATGTTGTGTGGCCCTGGGTATGACTGTTGTGTGGAAATACTGGATGAGGTTTTCTCAAGCCGAAAAGACATAAAGGACCAGCCCTTAAAAGACCCAGATGTCGAATACTTTACTGATGGGAGCAGCTTCATATCTGAAGGTGTCAGATGGGCTGGATATGCAGTGGTAACACTGAATTCAGTATCTGAAGCCCACCCTCTGCCAGTCGGAACTTTAGCCCAAATTGCTGAGCTAATAGCTCTCACTAGAGCGTTGCTCTTGGCAAAAGGAAAATCAGTAAACATCTATACTGACTCAAGGTATGCTTTTGCCACTTTGCATGCCCATGGAGCCATATATAAGGAAAGAGGGTTGTTAACTACTGAAGGAAAGAAAATAAAAAATTAAAAGGAAATAGAGCAGCTCTTAGAAGCCGTATGGGTTCCAAAAGAAGTAACAGTCATCTATTGCAAAGGGCATCAAACAGAAGGAGGTGATGAGGCTAGAGGAAACAGAAAGGTGGACAGAGAAGCCAAAAGAGCTGCAATGACAGAGGTAACTAAGAAGGAAAAGGAAACCCTTACTATGCCTTTACTGGAGCTTCCCCTTACAGAACCCCCTAACTATTCTGCTAATGAAAAGGCTTGGTTTGAGCAGAAGAATGGAATTTACCAGAAAGGAGGTTGGTGGAAGTTCTCAGATGGGAGGCTCGCCATCCCAGAAGCAATAGCACCCCCACCCCAGTTCATAAAGCAGTTTCATCAAGGAACGCATATGGAGAAAACTGCGTTAGAGACTCTTGTAGGATGGCATTTCTATGTGCCGCGTCTAATTGCCATCACTCGAACCATTTGTGAGCCACTGCAGGGGCCAACACAGCCCCCGGGGATTCAAAAAACTGAAGCTACACCTTGTGAAAACCTGCTTGTGGACTTTACCAAGCTGCCTCGAGTTGGAGGCTACCGGTACAGGAGGTTTGTCTGCACTTTCTCAGGGTGGGTCGAGTCATTTCCCACCGTGACAGAGAAAGCGCGGGAAGTAACCAGGATCTTACTAAAGGACATTATTCCTAGATTTGGACTGCCTCTAACTTTAGAATCAGACAATGGCCCAGCATTTATGGCAGAAAATAGTACAACAGTTAATGCAGATGTTAAAAATCAAATGGAAACTGCATACAGCTTATCACCCACAGAGTTCTGAAAAAGCTGAAAAAATGAACCAGACATTCAAACAGCTGTTAAAGAAGTTTTGCCAAGAAACTCATCTAAGGTGGGATCAGGTGCTCCCCATGGTCCTTCTCCGAGTCAGGTGCACCCCTACTAAATTAACTGGTATTCACGCTATGAGATAGTATTCAGCTGACCACCCGCAATCATAACTCAGATAAAAGGGGATTAGAGCAAGACACTGTCTCAAAAAAAAAAAAAAAAAAAAGAAAGAAAGAGATTGGGGGATTAACCTTAAGAAGGCAAATGCAAGCCTTAGGTGAGGCCATGCAGGAAATACAAGGGTGGGTAAGAAAAAGAATACCTGTTAGCCTCACAGATGCAGTACATCCCTTCCAACCTGAAGACTCTGTCTAGGTCAAATGATGAAACCCAACCACCTTAGGGCCTTTATGGGATGGCCCCCATATTGTGATCTTGTCTACCACCACTGCTGTTAAAGTTGCAGGTATCACACCTTGGGTTCATCATAGCCAGCTGAAACCAGCAGCAGCCACTGCCCAGAACCAGTGGACCAGTCAACAAAATCCAGACCACCCGACACTGGTGAAACCAAGCCACGGCTGACAAGGACAACTGCCCTGCTCTGATCACACTGGAAGCTGGTTGGTCCACGCACAACTGAAGCTTGAGAAAACATCAAGCCCTGCTCTAGTCACACAACCGGAAGCTGACTAGTCTACTCATGGCCGAAGCCTGAGGAAGTCAATGGTAGATAAGTAAATGTGGATTGAATTTACAAACAATAGTTATACTCCTACTTGTACTGATTTATTTTGCTGTCATGTTATCTTTGTAAATGCTGCCAAGCTTGTTGCCCAGAAGGGTGCCCATGCATAGTATAAGTTTAATCATATTAGTAATACTGAAGGCACTGACACTTTCACCTATGGTCATAAAAGGGGAGCAGGATGACTGTCATCACTGTATGATAGAAGACTGGTCCAGAAAAGGTGTGACTAAAACTCTGTTATACCAGACCTACTATGAGTGTACAGGGACTCATACAGGAACTTGTGTCTATAACCAGACTAGTTACTCAGTCTGTGATCCTGGAAACAGGCAGCACCAAGTATGTTATGACCCAGAGTTCTTGCCCTATGACTTCTGGTTTGAAGTCCAAATTGGCGAACCCGTAATGCCATCATACACAAACCCCACAGAAACCGGGGTCAGTAAACTTGTAAACAAAATGGAATTATTCCCTTACTCTCATAAAGGGCCTGTCTTCATACATTTTGATGCCTGCCAAGCTGCACATCTCAGTAAACTAAATAATATTGGGACCATCTGTAAAAATCTAGGACAAGAAAGAGTCAGCACAGAGCCACCAAGGCTGTAATAGGAGAGTCCAAAAAAGACTGCCATGATTGTGATAATCAGTGGACCACACATGAATTTAATCAGCACCTATACACAGGAAGGGTTGCTCTATTTGCCAGCCAAGAGGCAACTATAGGGTGCACAACTGGAACATGCAACCCACTCAATCTGACAATACTAAAGCCAAATATGCCTTTCTGGACTAAAGGGTATAAAGGGTTACTAATTTTTGATCGGGGGGAGCACTCCTAGGACTTGGTATTCCTCTAGTCATCACAAAGAAAACCCAAAGGACCCAAATTCAAGTTAGCCCGATACAACAGTTTAGATTTTATAAATCTTTCAGTGAACACTTTAATCCTGAAATATCAGAAATTCAAATTCCTCCTATATCAGCTGAAAATCTGCTTGCCCAGCTAGCCAAAAGTATTGCTAATAATTTACGAGTTACTTCATGTTATGTATGTGGAGATACTAATATGGGAGATCAATGGCCCTGGGATGCCAGAGAATTGATGCCACAAGACAATTTTACCTTGCCTGAATTTGTTACAAAATTCAGCAAATCCAAGTGTTTGGCTATTAAGGAACCCCATCATCGTAAAATACTGTATCACCCATTGGGGCAAGGCCTTTCAGAACCAGGTAGGGGAAACAACTTGCCTAGGTCAACAATATTTTGAAGAATTTGAGAACAGAACACAAGGGAGAAGCTTTATAGACAATTCCTCTGTGTCAGATTTTAATCGCTTTTTGCAGTTCCCAACACTAAATCAATCATGGTACCAATTAGATGCTCCAGCTGTTTAGAGAGAACCTGCAGGGTTATATTGCATCTGTGGAACAAAGGCTTATCAATTACTACCAGATAAATGGACAGGGGCATGTGTATTAGGAAAAATATAGCCATCCTTTTTCCTACTCCCACTGCAGCAAAGGGAAAATCCAAGCTATTTGGTCTATGATGAAGGCAGAAAAAGAGTCAGAAGACAAGTGTTTACAAAAATAAGTACTGTGGAAAAAATAAATACTAACATTAAAAAGGACACTGAAATGGGGAGCTGGAACAATAATAAATGGCCCCCTGAAAGAATTATCAAATACTGTGGACCAGCCACCTGGGCACAGGATGGGTCATGGGGATACCGTACTCCTATTTATATGTTAAACCACATCATAAGGTTGCCAGCAGTTCTGGAAATTATAGTCAATGAAACAGCCCGAGCCTTAGGCTTGCTAGCCATACAGGTGATCTAGATGAAAGATGCCATTTGTCAGAACAGGTTAGCACTGGATTATCTTTTAGCTTTAGGAGGAGTGTGTGGAAAACTTAATTTAACAAATTGCTGCTTACAAATTGATGACGATGGAAAAGGTACATTTGTGTCAAGCACCAAAAGGGGAGAATGAAGAAGGAATTAATGAAATCAACTATAAACTAATAGTAGTAGTAATAGATATTTTAAAATCCTCTTAAAGTTGCTGCAAAGTGTGACAACGCCCCCCCTTCCCCCGCCGGCCTTACACTCAAGTTAAAAGAGAATGTTAACAGCCTGTCTTGTCTCTGTGGACAGTGGACCTTATCTATACTCCCCAACTCCAAATACTTCAAGTTTATTACAGGCCAGTGAGCTCCTGCATGGCTGCAGGGTCACAAGACCATTAAGTTTAGGTTGCAAGACATGTCTTTCTCAAGATGTAAGAAATGTTGTAATGCTTGATTAACTGCCTTTGTTTCTCGCTTCTGTAACTTGCTTCCCGCCTCACATAGTTCCCGCCTTAAGATGTTTAAAAGTAGGAAAAGCCCTTAGTTTGGGGCTCATACTTTCTGGACATATGTCCGGCTGGGCTGGTGATCACCTTAATAGACTCTCCTGAACCTTTTTCGATCTCTCTGGTCTTTGATTGTCCCACAACAAATTGAACTTCTGCCTCACCATTTGTTAGATGTGTGATTTTTTGGCATGTTACCTAACTTTTCTGTGTTTTGATTTCTTTATCTGTGAAATGAATATAATAGTAGTGTCTATTTCATAAAGCAAGACATAGCTCCTGGCACCTAGTAGTGCTCAATACATGTTAACAGTATTCTCTATCTACAACTCTAACTGGTAATGGAGAAAATTATCCAGCTTTCTAAGTTTTGTTGGGGTTGTTATATTTATTGACAGATTTAATTGGGAATTTTTCTGTTACTGGAGGCAGCACAGCATAATGGAAAATGTCCTTTTTTAGCTTCCTTGCTACCTTTTTTGTGACTGCAGGACTGATTTTTCATACAGTGTTCTGACAAGACCAAGTTCTTCTAATACTTTGCCTTTTATTATAGTAAGTAACCTAGTATCTCTTTAAAACAGTTCTTACATTCATTTTATTCATCTCACTAGCTGTACTGCATTCATCCATCTAGCAAATGTTTGTTAAACACCCAATTTATGCTCAGTTTTAATAAACACTGTAGAGAATTTGCTCCCTTAACCCCCAACAAAAATTATTTTATTGATTCTGCCCTTAACAAGCTGGGGAAAGAAGTAACTTAAAAACATTTTGAAAAAAATGTAAGTATATAATCATACTGTATTTAAATGTAATCAACTGTCAAACACGTAATAAAAACAAGTAGTGAGAAAGAAGAGAAGGTGATTAATATTAGCTAGACTTGTTAGACAAAGGATATTGGGAAAGATTGTACTTGACGAGGGCATGAAGAACAGGTAGGTTTTTCAGTTCTTCAAGAACTAAAGGGTATTTTGTCTGAGAATAAAATAATGTATTAGTAATACTTGGACAATTTTATAAATCAAGTGAATAAACCTACCTTAAAATACATAATATTACAATTTTAAAAGTACTTTCTATATATTAAACTAGAAATATATTGCTTTGTTAAATTGTACTTTTCATACTGTTTCAATCCAAATGAATAAACAGTTGAGCACTATAGGTGTAGGCCCTGTTAGATAGTCCAGCCACAAATATGAATGTGTCATGATCCTCTGATCCTCAAGGAACTCAGAATTGTGGGAAATAAGGGTAAATATATTACACATGTAAAAATAGAAGATGATGAAAGCATGGAAGTAATACAGAGGAAGTACGATAATTGTGTGAGAAAGTTTCAGAAGACTTCACAAATAATTGACATTTGAACAGTGTTTTAAAGGATGAATAAAAGTTCTATAAGTCAAAAAAAGAAGGAAAATTCAATTAGAGGGAATAATTTAGTTATTACATTTCACACTTTAATGAACTTCATCCATTTTTGTCCATAGTTACCTTAATATATTTTGACTCAAACATTTTCTGATAAAATTACTACATTGATTCTTTTTCTCATTTTCAAGTAGAAATAGTAGAGACATTACCCACTGACAAAATAATATATGAATGAAAGAGTAGACCGTAATATTGATAGATACATGTATTATAATACATGTATACATCTTTTTGCGGAAGAAGAATGTGGAAATGGGAATAGGTTTTGTTTTGGTTGGTTGGTTTTTTCCAATTTTTATTTTAGATTCAGGAGGTAGGTACATGTGCAGTTTTCTTACTTGGTTATATTGTGTGATGCTGAGGTTTACAGTATGATGATGTTGGTAGTTTGATAGGAATAGCATTGAATCTGTAAATTTCTTTAGGTAGTATGGCCATTTTAATGGTATCAGTTCTTCCAATCCATGAGCATGGAATGTTTATCCATTTGTTTGTGTCATCTATAATTTCTTTTAGCAGTGCTGTGTAGTTCTCTTTTCACCTCCTTGGTTAGATGTATTCCAGATATTTTATTTTGTGTGTGTGTGTCTATTGTATGTAGGATTGCATTATTGGTTTGGCTCTAAGCTTGAATGTCATTGGTGTAGAGACATGCTACTGATTTTTGTACAGTGATTTTTTATCCTGAAAATTTATCCTGACTGAAGTCAGGAATAGGTTTAAAATGAAGACTTTTTGAAAAAGAATACTAGAGAAAAAAGAGTGTGCTCAAAGCTCTACATGAGTTTTAGGCATTTTATAGTAAATGCAACATGGTTTAAAAAGTTTTTGTGTGTTCAGATATTAAACTACTTGCAAGAATATACTTTTGTAATGTCATGATTAATGAATACTTTAAAAGTAATATACAAATTTTCCTTTAATACTTTCAAGAATGATACCTCCTAAAATAAATTATTAATGGTACACTTTTACATCAAGTGACCCTGTAATGTAGACCATGTAAAGTAGAATAGAGCAGAATGGATTTAAATTCAATCATAGAGAGAAATATGGGTGGCTGTACATTCCAACACCCCTTTGCTAACAGATCCAAGTATTTGAATATATTGTGATGGGGCACCTTATAACTCTGACAACATCACTGACTTCACAAACCGGCTCTTCTCTTTGAGCTCTTTAAATGTGATTGTCTATTTTGGAGACCTGAGGAACATAGAGCATCTAAATGTACACAAAGATTCATTAGGTCTAATTTGATGCTGCTCTCCATAATAATAATGATAAAAATTATGGCTTCTGCATTGAATCCTAAGTAGTGTTTTCCAGGTGCAATTACTGTGTAATTTTAATTATAAAAATCCTTGAGGTAGGTACTGTTATTATCCCTGCTTGAGGTAGAGTAGCAGAGAGTTTAGGAATAAAACTTATCTAAGGTCACTGCTGGAAAGTTGCAAAACTGAGAACTGAATTGAGGTCTGTTTGAGTCAATGATCATGCCCTGAACTCTGCAGGCCATTAAGACTGGATCTCACAGCACAGTTTAAATCTTGATGGGAGGAAAGGTTGAAGAGCATGACTCCAACCTGGCCATTTGAGAAACCCTACAAATTCGAGAAGCACATAATCCCAGATTGCCTTGTTATGTCTCCTTTTTTACCCCAGAACAACTGCTTTATAAATAAGTCATGGTCCAAAAATGTCCATGATAATTGGGCCTTAATTTCCTATATATCCAGTTTTAATATTGTGCCATTTTTTGTTTTAATTCCCATTTCCTGCAGATTCTGGCTTGCTATATTTATAAGAACACTAAACCTGATAGTAAACAGAATGAAGATCATGCACAAAGTCCATATGATAACAAAATATACCATCACATCTTCACCTTCTCTTTTTGCTCTTTCATTCTTTCTTTCCCATCATCTCTTATTTTCTTCCAAACTCTAGTTTCTTGCTTTCAGTTTTAACTATATACTTCAAATGTATAAACCATACACCACAGCACATTTTTATATGTGTTGATTAATTTATGTCATTTCTAATAATTTATTATATTTTGTTAGGCATTAGAGACTACATTAGATAATGTTGATGCATGGATCAAATTTTATAGAGAAGGATCAGAGAAGCAAAAAGGGATTTCTAGATCTTTGAAAATGATAGAGATAGCTGTATTGCCTGACAACTTCTAGACTCTCATTAAATATTTTATAAACAGTCTAAAGGACTATCCCATAAAGGATCAAACCAAAAATGCTCATATTTTTAATAATTTTAATTACATGATTATAGACATCAGGTAGACATAGAGACATCTATATGTCCTTCTAAAGCAATATGTATTTTCATGATTAGAAAATAGCATCAATGAAACTCTACTCTCTAATCTAATACCTAGTAGTTGAATCTTTTTAAACAATTTCAAAAACTTCATGATGAACTCTGGTGAGTTGTAGAAAATCTATGGAAATAGAAAATCTATCTTATATAACCCTTAAACCTTTCAGGACTGGAAAATTTGCTATACTGGATTGTTAGATAGCCTATATTGAGTCTCTGATAATTCAAGACCAATCAAGATTTTAGAGGAGAATACTGCATGAGGTCAAAGTTAAGGCTATACCCAAAACACAGCTTTCTTCTCATTCATTTTGTGGGTGTTACTTATTATTATAGCCTCTCTGGGTTTGGGCTATAATACCTCCTGAGAATAAAGAGCTTCATAATATAATACCTTAGTGTCACCGTAATTTATTTTATTTTATGTAAATAAATTGCAAGCTCCAGGAAATACCAAGTAGTTCTAATATTGCAGCACTAGGTGAATGAGGTCACAATATCCTCTTTTTATTTTATAGATGCTAATCTTCACCCAGATCTTCTTTCAATTGTCAACTTCTATGGCAGCTCTCAGTTCCATTAAGCATAATTCAAAAATATCAAAACTTTCTGACCTATATCATATCCCCCCAGTACCATGGTTTCTGTGCTTCCCAAAACAAACAGTTTCTCACATAGTCAGCTTACCCTTTTTTTGTTTGTTCCATGAGAGAGTTTTGCTCTGTCACCCAGTCTGGAGTGCAGTGGCATGATCTCGGCTCACTGCAACCTCCACCTCCTGGATTCAAGCAATTTTTCTGCCTCAGCCTCTCGTGTACTGGGATTGCAGGCGCCCACCACCGCGCCTAGCTAATTTTTGTATTTTTAGTAGAGACAGGATTTCACCATGTTGGCCAGGCTGATCTCAAATTCCTGACCTCATGATCCACCTGCCGCAGCCTCACAAAGGCTGGGATTACAGGCATTAGCCACTGCGCCTGACCTAGTCAACCTAGTCTTATTGGAAACTTCTGTGGTTTGAATGTGTCCCCCAAAAGTTCATGTGTTCAAAACCTAATCCACAGTGCAACAGTGTTAAGAGGTGAGGCCTAATAGGAGGTGATTGAGTCATGAGGGCAGAACTTTTATGGATGGATTAATGTTGTTGTCTCAGGAGTGGGGGAGTTATAAAGTGATTTTGGCTCCTGGTGTCTCTTTAGCATGTACTCACTTGCCCTTTTATCCTTCTGCCATGAGATAATGAAGCAAGGAGCCCTTCATCTGATGCAGCTTCCCAATCTTAGACTTCTCATCTTCCAGAACTTTGAGCTAAGTAAATGTCTCTTCTTTCTAAATTACCCAGTCTTTGGTATTCTGTTATAGCAACAGAAAATGGACTAAGGAAGGTTACAGAAGACTTCAAAATCCACTATTATTTTTAGGGCAATACCCTCTGCTTTTTAACATAAAAACCACTTGTATTAGTTTTAAGAAAGAAGTAAGGGGCTTGCCCTGGCAAATCGGTATAAGCAATATTTTGTGTCCATGATTTCACTTGGTTATCTTAAAATAATGATGCTTAAGTAGTGACTTTCTCAGGTCAGGCTTTAGCTCCCAGATGAAACTACTAAGTATATGTTTGTTTGTACATGTCAGTCCCAAGCCTGACCCTCCCTTGGTCCGCAAAGAAAGTAGTTTCTGTATCCATGAGAAAAAATAAGCACTAAGGACTTTGCCCCTAGTGTTCAGACTTATTATGTTACCTGTGTGTATTTTACTTTATGATTGGAATCTCATTGTGAGTATCTCCATTGCCTTGTTTCTCATTCATTGCCTCCCTTAGTTTCTGTAATAAAGGACTATGGCATAGTAAACAAACTGTCTAAAGGAATATTCCACATAAAAGGGCAAGCTAGGTAGAAAAAGCCTGGCCAGTTATAGCATATTTCTGTTACATAAGGACATCAGTTTGCATATGTTTTTCCAAGGTGTAATCAGAATTTGAAGTTCTTACTGTAAACCAGATACAGACTACTTTTACAAATTGGTTTTTTAAATGTGATGGCTACAGACTGTCCATCCTAAGCTGATTGCACTGAGTGATTGCTGACCTGCATCTTTCTAGGGTAAAGCCCCCAGGGGACAAGCAAAAGACCCTTGGTCACAGCCACTTCTAAGGTCCTTTCCTCTGCTGCCTCCAAGTTGAGGAAGGAACATATACCCTGAAATTGTTCTAGAGCTACAGCAGGCTGCCCAAGAGTTCCAAGCCACAATCTCCAGCCAGCAGTCAAAGGGGACAGGAGCCCACAATTTCAGAGCATTGAGTGGGCACACAGCTGCAACTATGAGGAAAGAAAGGAGAGCCACACAACCAAGCAAGAGTCTACCAAGAGACCAGTATACCTAAGCACCTCCTACTGGATCACATCCCAAAGCTTCAACTACAAATATACCTTGCTAACATATCCCACTGTGAAACCAAAGACAACAAGTCAGTGAGAGTCAAATAAAGACTCTGCAAAAAGCACTGGCCCTGTGAAAACATCCGTAAAAGAAGTCTCTTGACTGTACTCAATCTATGCCTCCTTAAAGGAACACTCACATACAGAGGTGAGAAAGAACCAATGCAAGAACTCTAGTAATGCAAATGGCCAGAGTGTGGTGTCGCCTCCAAGCAACTGCACCAGTTCTCCAACAAGAGTTTTTTTTTTTTTTTTTTAGACAGAGTCTTGCTCTGTCGCCCAGGCTGGAGCACAATGGCACCATCTCAATCTCGGCTCACTGCAAGCTCTACCTCCCAGGTTCATGCCATTCTCCTGCCTCAGCCTCCCATGTAGCTGGGACCACAGGTGCCCGCCACCACGCCCGGCTAATTTTTTGTATTTTTTAGTAGAGACGGGATTCACCATGTTAGCCAGGATGGTCTTCATCTCCTGACCTCATGATCCGCCCGCCTCAGCCTCCCAAAGTGCTGGAATTACAGGCGTGAGCCACTGTGCCCGGCCAAGAGTTCTTAACTAGGCTGAGCTGGCTGAAATTACAAAAATAGAATTCAGAATATGGATAGAAATGAAGATCAAAATTTGGGAGAACAGCAAAACTCAATCCAAGGAAACTAAGAATCATAGTAAAATGATACAGGAACTGAAGGACAAAATAGCTGATATAAAAAAGAACCTAATGAATCTGACAAGGCTGAAAAACACAATAAAAGTATTTCACAATGCAATCAGAAGTATTAACAACAGAATAGACCAAGCTGAGGAAAGAATCTCAGAATGTGAAGACTGGCTCTCTGAAATAAGACACTCAGACAAAAACAAAGAAAAAAGAATGAAGAGGAATGAGCAAAACCTCTGAGAAGTATGGGATTATATAAACAGGCCAAATCTATGAATCACTGGCATTGTTGAAAGGGAAGGGAGAAAGCAGACAACTTGCAAAACATATTTCAGGATATTGTCTATCAAAAATTTTCCAAACTTGCTAGAGAAGCCAACAGTCAAATTCAGGAAATACAGAGAATCCCTGCAAGATTCTACACAAGATTATCCCCAATACATGTAATCATCAGATTTTCCAAGGTTGAAATGAAAGAAAGAATGTTAAAGGCAGCTACAGAAAAATGACAGGTCACTTACAAAGGGAACCCCATTAGGCTAACAGTTGGCCTCTCAGCTGAGATCCTACAAGCCAGAAAAGATTGGGGACCTACATTCAACATTCTTAAAGAAAAACAGATATTTCATATCCAGGTAAACTAAGCTTCCTAAGTGATGGAGAAATAAGATCCTTTTCAGGTAAGCAAACGTTCTAGGAGTTTGTTACCACCAGACCTGCCTTACAAGAGATTTTGAAAGGGACACTAAATACAGAAAGGAAAGACCACCACCAGCAAATACAAAAACATACTTAAATACACAGACCAGTGACACTATAAAGCAACCACACAAGCAAGGCAGAATAACCAGGTAACAACACAGTGATAGGATTGAATCTACACATGTCTACACTAAGCTTGAATGTACATGGTCTAAATGCCCCCAGTTAAAAGGCACAAGAGTGGCAAGCTGGGTAAAAAAGCAAGACCCAATGGTACACTGTCTTCAAGAGATCCATCTCATGTGTAATGACACCCATAGACTCAAAGTAAAGTGATGGAGGGAAATCTACCAAGCAAATTGAAAACAGAAAAAAAGCAGGAGTTGCAATCCTAATTTCAGACAAAACAGAGTTTAAATGAACAAAGATCAAGAAAGGCATTACATAATGATAAAGGGATTAATTCAACAAGAAGACCTAACTATCCTAAATATATATGCACCTAACACAGGAGCAGCTAGATTCATAAAGGAAGTTCTTAGAGATCTACAAAGAGATATAGACTACCACATAATAATAATGACAGACTTAAAAACTCCAGTGACAGTATTAGACAGATCATTAAGCCAGAAAATTAACAAATATATTCAGAACCTGAACTCAGCCTTGGACCAAATGGATCTGATAGACCTGTACAGAACTCTCCACCAAACAACAACAGAATGCACATTCTTCTCATTGCCTCATGGCACATACTCTAAAATCTACCACATAATTGGATGTAAAACAATCCTCAGCAAATGCAAAGGAACACCAAACACATTCTCGGACCACAGCAGAATAAAAGTAGAAGTCAAGACTAGGAAAATTGCTCAAAACCATGCAATTACATGGAAATTTAACAATATGCCCCTGAATAACTTTAGGATAAATAATGAAATTAAGGCAGAAATCAAGAAGTTCTTTGAAACTAATGAGACTAAAGATCCAACATACCAAAATCTACAGGATACAGCTAAAGTAGTGCTAAGAGGGAAATTCATAGCTCTAAATGCCCAAACAGTTAGAAAGATCTTGAATTAACAACCTAACATCACAACTGAAAGAATTAGAGAAGCAAGAACATATCAACCCCAAATCTAGCAGAAGACAAGAAATAACCAAAATCAGAGATAAACTGATGGAAAATTAGACATGAAAAACCATTTTGAAGATCAACAAATCCAGGAGTTGGTTTTCTGAAAAAAAAATAATAAGATAGGCTGCTAGCTAGACTAATGAAGAAGAGAGAAGATCCAAACAAACAGAATTAGAAATGATGAAGGGGATGTTAATACTGACCCCATGGAAATAAAAATAACCATCAGAAACTACTGTAAACACCTATATGCACACAAAATAGAAAACCTAGAAGAGGTGGATAAATTCCTGGACACATAAACCCTCCCAAGACTGATCCAGGAAAAAATGGATTCCCAGAACAGAACAATAATGAGCTCCATAATTGAATCAATAATAAATAGCTTACCAACCAAAAGAAGCCCAGGACCAGAAGGATTCATAACCAAATTCTTCCAGACATACAAATAAGAGCTGGTACAATTTCTACTGAAACTATTCCAAAAAATTGAGGAGGAGGGACTCTTGAGTAGGTTTATTCTATGAGATCAGTCTCATCCTGATACCAAAACCTGGCAGAGACCCAGCAAAAAAAGAAAACTTTGTGCCAGTATCTTTGATGAACACTGATGCAAAAATTCTCAACAAAATATTCTCAAACCAAATCCAGCAGCACATCAAAAAGCTCATTCACCACGATCAACTTGGTTTCATTCCCAAGATGCAAGGTTGGTTCAACATATGCAAATCAATAAATGTGATTCTTCATATAAACAGAACTAAAGACAAAAACCACATGATTATAGATGCGGAAAGGCTTTTGACAAAATTCACAATTTCTTCATGTTAAAAACTCTCAATAAACTAGGTATTGAAGGAGCATACCTCAAAATAATAAGAGCCATTTATGACAAACCCAAAGTCAACATCATACTGAATGGGCAAAAGCTGGAAGCATTCCCCTTGAAAACTGGCACAAGACAAGAATGCCCTCCCCTACCACTTCTATTCAAGATAGTATTGGAAGTGTTGACCAGAGCAATCAGTCAAGACAAAGAAATGAAGGGAAGCTGAATAGGAAGGGAAGAAATCAAACCATCCCTGTTTGTAAGTGACACAATTCTATATCTAGAAAACCCCATAGTATTGGTCCAAAAGCTCCTTCAAGCAATAAACAACTTCAAAAAAGTTTTAGAATACAAAATCAATCTACAAAAATCACTAGCACTCCTGTACACCAACAACAGCCAACCTGAGAGCCAAATCAGAAAGGCATTACCATTCACAATTGCAACAAAAAGAATAAAATACCTAGGAAGACAGCAAACTAGGGAAGTAAAAGATCTTACAATGAGAATGACAAAACACTGCTCAAAGAAATCAGTGATGGTACAAATAAATGCAAAAACATTCTATGCCCACTCATAGGGAGAATCAATGTCATTAAAATGGCCATAACTGCTCAAAGCAATGTACAGATTCAGTGTTATTCCTATGAAACTATCAAAAACATTCTTTACAGAATTAAATAAAACTATCTTAAAATTCATATGAAACCAAAAAAGAGCTCAAATAGCCAAGGCAATCCTAAGCAAAAAGAACAAAACAGGAGGCATCACATTACCTGTCTTCATACTATACTACAAGGCTACAGTAACCAAAACACCATGGTACCAGTACAAAAGCAGACACGCAGAACAATGGAACAGAATAGAGAGCCCAGAAACAAGGCTGCACACCTAACGACTATCTGATCTTCAACAAAGCTGACAAAAACGATAGGGAAAAGACTCCCTGTTCAATAAATGGTGCTGGGATAACTAGCTGGCCATATGCAGAAGATTGAAGCTGAACCCCTTCCTTACACTATATAAAAAAGTCAACTCAAGATGGATTAAAGACTAAATGTAAAGCCCAAGACTATAAAAACTCTGGAAGATATCCTAGGCAATAGCACCCTGGGCATAGGAATGGGCAAAGATTTCATGACAATGACGCCAAAAACAATCGCAACAAAAGCAAACATTGACAAATGGTATGTAATTAAACTTAAGAGCTCTGCACAGCAAATGAAACTATCAACAGAGTAAGCAGACAACCTACAGAATGGGAGAAAACATTTGCAAACTATGCATCTGAAAAGTATAATTCCAGCATCAATAAGAAACTTAGACAAATTTACAAGAGAAAAACAACCCCATTAACCACTGGACAAAGGATATGAATAGAAACCTTTGAAAAGAAGACATACATGCAGCCAACAAGCATATTTTAAAAAGCTCAATATCACTGATCATTAGAGAAATGAGAATTAAAACCACAAGAAGATACCATCTCATGCCAGTCAATATGGCTATTATTAAAAAGTCAAAATAATGGATGCTGATGAGGTTGCAGAGAAAAAGGGAACACTTGTACACTGTTGGTGGGAGTGTAAATTAGTTCAACCATTGTGGAAAGCAGTATAGTGATTCCTCAAAGAGCTAAAAGCAGAACTACCATTTAGCCCAGCAATTCCATTGTTGGGCATATACCCAGAGGAAACTAAATAATTCTACCATAAAGGCACATGCACACAAATGCTCACTGCAGCACTATTCACAATCACAAAGACATGGAATCAACCTAGATGCCCATCAATGACAGATTGGATAAAGAAAATGTGGTACATATACACCATGCAACCATAAAAAAGAACGAGATCATGTCCTTTGTGGACGGATCTAGAGGCTATTATTCTTAGTAAACTAACACAGAAACAATATTAAATACCACATGTTCTCACTTATAAATGGGAGCTAAATGATGAGAACTCATGAGCACAAAGAAGGGAACAACAGACACAAGGGTCAACTTGAGGATGGAAGGGTGGAAGAAGAGAGAAGAGAAAAAATAACTGTTGGGTACTAAGCTTAACACCTGGGTGATGAAATAATCTGTACAACAAAAGCCTGTGACATGAGTTTACCTGTATAACAAACCAGCACATGTACCCTGAACCTAAAATAAGAGTTTTTTAAAAAGTGATGGCTAATTAAAGATGCCCCTTGTTATGTTTATCTAATCTCTCTTTTTTAGACCAAAAATAATCCTCTCTTCCAGATCATCTTCCCCAAAGCATTTGGCTAAAAAATTGCCTGCCATTGAACATACCTAGGATTTCAGAAATCTGTCCTAGCACAGATCAAGTGAAAATTTGAACAAAACACAGATGGAATAAGATGGCTTTGTAAGTTTATGTTTTCATGTAACCTTTCTATTCCAAACGAAAATGAAGAATGATAAAAAAGGAAAAAATAAGAGAAATTAAGAAATGAGGTAAACATTTTCATGAACTAGAAATAAAATACAAATGCAAAGCAAGGAACCAAGCTGAGGCCAAAGGCTGTGACTTCTGGGACAGAACATAGATGGTGATTTTGGGACTAAGGGTGCATATAGCAGATGGACCCTAAGGTGATTCAATGATTCTCACCCCCTGGCATTCATGCCTTCTGTAATTCCCACCTTATGTGTGTAGTGGGAATCTGTGACTTGCTTCTAGTCACTAGAATATGGTAAAGGTGTGATATGGTTTGGCTGTGTCCCCACCCAAATCTCATCTTGAATTGTAGTTCCTATAATCTTCACATGTCGTGGGATGGTAATTGAATCTTGGAGTGGGTTAACCTCATGCTGCTGTTCTCATGATAGTGGGTGAGTTCTTATGATAGTGAGTGAGTTCTCACAAGATCTGATGATTTTATAAGAGGCTTTTCCGTCTTTGCTCAGTACTTCTCCTTCCTGTCATCATGTGAAGAAGGACTTGTTTGCTTCCCCTTCTTCCATGATTGTAGGGATAAGTGTAAGATAATGAATGTGTGTTGTTTTAATGTGCTGAGTTGGTGGTTATATGTTATATGAGAATACCTAATATAGTACCTTACACAAGAAAAGGATCAAGGCCAGGTTCACTGCTTGAAACCAGGGCAGAACCAGCACACCCACATATGCGAACAGTGTCTGAATAAAAAGGCTGGTTACCTGGTTAAATAGAAAACTATGGCTATAGATAAGTATGAGAACTTAAAACCAGGAATTGAGTCAAGTTGCTAGTAGCAGCTGGATCTTTGAACCCACTCCCCACACCTATCAGTGCCCTTAAAAATGCTGTTATAGGCAGGGCATGGTGGCTCACACCTGTAATCTCAGTGTTTTGGGAAGCTGAGGCAGGAGGATTGCTTGAACTCAAGATTGAGGTTACAGTGAGCTATGAGCTATGATCATGCCATTGCTCTTCTAAGCAACAGAGCAAGACACAGTCTCTAAACAAAAAAAGAAAAAGAAAGTTATAAAACTTGGTTCTGGATTGGTGGATCAGGAGTACCAAGTGATGGCAATTTCAGGTACTTGAAAACTATTAGTGTAGGAAGCTGAGACCAAATAAAAGAAAATCGTTCCCTCCAGTCGAAAGAAGACGTATACCTAAATTCAAAGACTTATGAAGAACGCTACTGCTAAGGAAGGCAAACAAAAACCACAGTGTCCCAGCATGAATTCCTTGCAGGAGAAATTAATTATATGGAACAGTTATGCTTAATGAAGAAATAGCATCTATTAAAAGTCATTAGAATTTGAAAGCAGAAACACGTCCTAATAAAAGTTTGAACATGAAAACGAAAATGGAAATCTTAAAAATAAAAGTTCATTATATGGAATAAATTCTACACATTTATGAAGAGAAATTAGCAAATTTGAAGATGAGAAATTCAATCCGGATGGAGGAAAGGAACACACAGAGACACACAGACACATACACACCAAAAGGCCTGAAGAATATATTGATTCAATGATATATGTAACTGGAGTTTCAGAAGAAAAGAAAGAAGGAAATATCAAAAGAAATAAAAAATATTAACTAAGAATTTTTCCAGAATAGAGAAAAGAGTAGGTCCTCAGATGTTAACTAGTATCTGCTTTTCACTAGACAGACCAACCAGCACCTACTAGAAGAGAAAATGTCATCGGTGATCCCTGAGGAGACTTGAAAAGTTTTAAATTCTCAGGCACTACTCCAGATTCACCAAATTAGAAAGAAATGCACCAAAAAATCTCCAGTCTTCCCAAAATTGATAACCCCAATCTAATCATGAAAACAATCATCAGACAACCGTCAATAGAATATTCCTCAAAATATCTGCCCAGTATTCCTCAAAATATGTCAAGGTCATCAAAGAAAGAGAAAAAGAGAGAAAGAGAGAAGAGAGAGGAAGGGAGGGAGGGAGGGAGGGTAGGAAGGAAGACAGGCAGGCAGGAAGGAAGGCAGGCAGGCAGGAAGGAAGGAAGGAAAGAAAAGTATAAGAAAGTTGCATACAGAGCAACCCAAGGAGGCATGTTGACTAAATGCAATGTATCCTGGATGGGATCCAAGAACAGAAAAAGGATATTAGATTAAAAATTAAGAAAAGGTGAATAAAGTATGGATTTAGTTAATAATCGTGGATTAATATTGGTTAATTAATTTTAACAAATGTACCACATCAATGTAAATAATAAGATGTTAATTATAAGAGGTGATAAATGTGATGTATATCAGAATCCTGTACTATTTTAACTAGTATTCTGTAAATCTAAAACTATTCAAATATTTTTTTAAATTGTTAAACATAGAAGCTTTCAATTTTATTTTGATTATCAGCCAGATTTAGATTTATTTTATCCCATCATGTTGCAGATGAGAAAACGGAGACACTTGAATTGTAAGTACTCACCTGATTCTAATAATTTTAGAGATAATATAATTATTAAATTATAATTGTAAACTGTGATTACAAGTGTTTTTTTGAAATACCTTAGAATTAAACATAATTTGTATTCTGGAGTTTTAACTAAACTATAGCAATATAACAGTGGTAGTTTAATTGCAACAAATGCTTATTTTTAAAGCCCTTAAAATGGTACTGAAAAATGGAGTGGATTTCAAAATCAGCCCCCATTAGTATTAAATAAAGTAAATAAAAATCATCTTTTTCTTTCTTTCTTTTTTTTTTTTCTTACAGAATCTCACTCTGTCTGTTGCCCAGGCTGGAGTGCAGTGGCATGATCTTGGCTCACTGCAATCTCGGCCTCCCGGGTTCAAGCAATTCTCCTGCCTCAGCCTTCCAAGTAGCAAGGACTACAGATGCGCACCACCAGGCCTGGCTAATTTTTGTATTTTTAGTAGAGATGGGGTTTCACTATGTTGGCCGGGCTGGTCTCCAACTCCTGACCTCAGGTGATCTGCCCACCTCAGCCTCCCAAAGTGCTGGGATTACAGGTATGAGCCACCATGTCCAGCCTGAAAAGTATCCATTTTTAAAAGAATAGGAATCTATTTTCTGTTTCTTCTTTTCTCCTTAAGTCCTCCCTTCTTAAGTATTTCTTAACGTTTTCTACTTTTCTTCACACCCACTTCCTGGTAGTTTTCCTAGAAGGGAATCACCTCCACACACAAGTTCTCGTCCCACCCATCACACTTACAACATACTTTATTGTCAACTGATTTTTCTTATTATCTCTGTCCTCTAACATGCCTCCCTTTATATTTGGCTAGCTCACAGAGACAGCTATCTCTAGTGAAAAGAGCTTTGGAATTTTACAATGGTACTGTCCCTTACTAAGTATGTGTGAACTTAAGTATAGCACATACAACCATTGCCTCAGTTTTCCAACTTGCAAAATGGCTACAGGATTCCCACTTCACAGAGGTGTTGTAAAGATTAAATGAAGTAGCACATATATGAGAATATTCTGAAGTATCTGGTATATTATGGATGTATGTCACCAAATTCCACTTCCGAGAATACTTTGCAGTTTCTAAGGACACCCATACACCAGCTGTCCCCAACCTTTTTGGCACCAGGGATTGGTTTCCTTGAAGACAATTTTTCCATGGACAGGGGCTAGGGGGTGGGGGATGGTTCTGTGATGAAACTGTTCCACCTCAAATCATCAGGCATTAGATTCTCATTAGGAGTGTGCAAGCCAGATCCCTCACATGTACAGTTCACCATAGGGTTCCTGCTCCTATGAGAATCTAATGCTGCTGCTGATCTGACAGGAGGTGGAGCTCAGCGGGTAATGCTGCTTGCCCACCACTCACCTCTTGCTGTGTGGCCCAGTTCCTAACAGGCCACAGACCAGTACTGGTCTGTGGCACAGGGGTTGGGGACCCCTGCCATGCACTATATAGGAAAAAATATAGTTACTTCTTAATTGGCCTTCAATGGTCAAATCAGTTTTTTCTAAATTGATTAAGCCTTGGTGCAGAGAACTTGGATATAGTAGACACTACATTAACTGAAGTCTTGTAGGTTGTTGCTACTCAACTTCTAAATGTTATTCTTCCCCAATATATTTAGACATGGTGAAAATGAAGTACACTGTTCAACAATGCCTTCCTTTGCAACTCAATTTTAATTTCGTTTCTAGGAAACAACTTCCTTGTATGTTTTCCCACAGACTCTCAATACAACGTAGAATAGTATGATGTAACATAGGCACAACTAGATAATACATAGCATCATTACCAACTGTATTAACCTAAAATCATAAAAACTCCCAGCTTCAAACCATCTGAAACATTTGGAGCAATTGCCTACATTTCCCTCCAATATAATTTTAAGAGTTTTGTATCTTATAGCCCAGAGGTTCAAGCTAAAACACTGTTACTGCTGACTGCTAATTAAATCTACCATCAAAGATTCATGATGTATTATGGAATCTCAAGTTTGTTTCATATTCTTGGAGCTCCATATACTGAATGGATTCTATTCAGTGCATTCTATTTAAGTTTATGCATTTCCATGAAGTTGAGAAGGATCTTGCTGAAAAGGCCCCAAAGTTTTCACAAATAGAGTGGATACTGAATATTTGCTATATTCATTCACTTACTTATAAATATTTATTGAGTATATTTTATTTTAATGCAAAGATTATAAGATATTGGTTTTTGTCTTAAAGTAGGTGACAGCCTATTAAGAGGGGTGAAGGGAAATAAATAGGAAGGAGAGAGAGAGAGAAGAGCAAATCATTGCTATAGAGAAAGAAAATTCTAGTAGTGCTAACAACAGAGTAATATGGGAACAGAGCCAAAAAAGTGTTTGAGAAAGTTTTCTGGAGAAAAATCACATTTGAACAGAATTTGATAGATAATTTGTTTTCAAACTAATAGAAGCTACCACAAAATTTAATCTCCATGAGTGGAGGGACTTTGGTTTTTATATTCACCTTTGTATCTTCACTGCTGGAAACCTACCTGGCTTGTGGTATGCTAAAAATCCTGTGTTAAATGGATGAATAAATGAATGGCTACTTGGCAATAGGAGCAGCTGAATGAAAACATTTACTTCCTAGAGAGTTAAATAATATCTTTTATGGCAACTCCTGACACCATTATGTTTTTTCACATAATTTGAAATGTAGCATGAGTCAAGCTGATTAACCAGATGACTCCATCTTAGATCATTCAAATTTCCATGGTGGCTATGAAGAATTTTAGGAAATAGGAAGGATCTGATAATAAGAATAAATAAAAAGTCATCTTAAGTTGAGGAAAAGGCAAGCACACCTGCTTATTCCACTACAATTCCCCACAAATACATACATTTACATGGCTTGCACAGGTGGACCAAATATTTATATGATGAAAACCTCTTACAGAATTTTTTTTGGATCAGATGAACATAAATAGAATGAGGAAAAATTAGAAACTAATTGCAGACATTCAATAGGCATTCAATGCAGACATTGAATAGACATTCAATCTTTGAGTTACAACCTGAACTGACTGCATCCTTTTGTAAAACCTTCACTCCAGCAAAACTAAAGAGTCTCCAAGCTATGGACATGTGCTGTATGGTAAAAAAAAAAGTTGCAGAACATATGCTTCCCCGTTTCCATTAAAAAGAAATACTAACCATCTTTGAAATGTCAGCTCCGTGGTGAGGCATTCCTGAAATGATCTCCCCGACTTCCATCATGCACCCATAGCTCTTTGGTCAGGTCTTTCTCTTGAAATTAATAGAGTCTGTGCTGATTTAAGTACATCTCAAATTCCTTTAAGAATGTGAGTTCCTTGTAGACATGAATGATACCTTTTCATTCTAATATTTGATCTTACCTCTTATAACTTCCCCTCAAATCCACATACTCACACATAATCATTTCCTGAGTGAATGTTGAAAGAAAACTATAACCTGATATACTTACAGAAAAAGAGACTTGATGTTTTCTAAAATAAGAAACCATAAAGAAATACTGATACAAGACTTATGATGGCAATGCAAGATGTAAAAGATGCTATGCAAAATAAACAGAAAGGTAATCAGAATGTGTGATATAAATATGTTGCAATGATAAGAGTACTCAGCCTGTGCAACATGACAAAACCCCATCTCTACCAAAAATACAAAAATTAGCAGGGTGTGGTAATACATGCCTGTCATCCTAGCTACTCAGGAAGCTGAGGTGGGGGGATTGTTGAAGCCCAGGAGGTTGGGGCTTCAGTGAGCTGAGATCGTGCCACTGCAATCCAGCCTGGGTGACAGAGAAAGACCTTGTCTCAAAAAAAAAAAAAAAAAAAAAAGTCAAAAAAAAATACTTACTGATTCTGATAGACATATTTTATTAAAATCAGGGAATTCATGTTAGTTATTTATTTAGGGGAAACTATATCTCTGCTTCTGATAGCTACAGAATCAATAGCTTTTACACATCATCAAAATGCCTTTTGATCATCACTTGAAAGTTGCTGCATGCTTCTTATTCCTTGTATCAGTTAGGATGCTCTCATCAGCAAATACTGCATTACACATCTACAGTAGCATAAATAATAAGATCTTGATCTCATATAGTAAGAAGCCTGGAGGTTGGAGATCCGAAGTTTGGTGCAGTGATTCAATGGTGATATCAGGATTTAGGCTTTTTCTATCTTCTACTTTTATGGTTGCAATATGAATGCCATAGCTGCACATCTAGTATTCCAAGCCAGAAGGCTAGGCAAAGACAGGAACAGAGAATTTTTTTCTTGAGCACTTCTCTTTTATAAGGAATGTCTTTATTAGAAGACTTTTTTTTTTTTTGTGAGATGGAGTCTCGCTCTGTCGCCCAGGCTGGAACGCAGTGGCGCAATCTCGGCTCACTGCAAGCTCCGCCTCCCGGGTTCACGCCATTCTCCTGCCTCAGCCTCCCGAGTAGCTGGGACTACAGGCGCCCGCCACCACGCCCAGCTAATTTTTTTGTATTTTTAGTAGAGACTAAAAATTTTTAGTTTCCCCATGTTCGCCAGGATGGTCTCAATCTCCTGACCTCGTGATCCGCCCGCCTCGGCCTCCCAAAGTGCTGGGATTACAGGCGTGAGCCACCGCGCCTGTCTAGAAGACATTTCTTAACAGATTTCACTTCTCACTGGCCAAGTTATAGAGTACAATAACTGACATGAAGGAAGCGTACTGCTATGATGTACCCAGACAGTTGAAATACACCCACTAGGGCTGGCACATCATGCCTGAACAAAATCGAGATTCTATTAACAGTGATGGAAGAAAAATAACTCTTGGAAAAGAAACCATTAGTGCCTATAACATCACAAAAGATAGTCTCTGTAATTACTGTGATATAGACAGTAGATATTTGTTGGCCTTGATTTCATTAATTAGTAAAAATACCTGAAAATCCATTATTGCTTTAATGCTTACCTTCAGATGATTTTGTTAAAGCTTGGGTGAAGTGGCAGTAAGAGCTGTGAAATGGCAGAGATAATCATTACATTTTAACTCTCAATGCCTATATCAAGTAATATAAATTAATGAAACATCATTTTAACAAAAATACCAGAACTTAGACATACACATGAATGTTTTCCTATAAAGTACTTACCTTGAGAAACTGAATACTTCCAAAGTAGCCACTGGTCAAAGAAAGCCAGAACTAATCTTTTTTTCTTCTTCTTCTTTTTTAAGACGGAGTCTCGCTCTGTCGCCCAGGCTGGAGTGCGTGCAGTGGCACGATCTTGGCTTGCTGCAACCTCCGCCTCCCAGGTTCAAGTGATTCTCCTGCCTCAGCCTCCTGAGTAGCTGGGATTACAGGTGCCCACCACCACAACCAGCTAATTTTCATATTTTTAGTAGAGACAGGGTTTCACCAGGTTCGTCTCGAACTCCTGACCTCAGGTGATCCACCCGCCTTGGCCTCCCAAATTGCTAGGATTACAGGCGTGAGCCACCGTGCCAGGCTAAGAACTAATCTTAAAGCATTGCCATTAGCCTATGGCATAGCTCTTAGGACTAATTTTAGTAATAAGAAATCTTTGTCTTTCGTGAATAAATTTGCTTATTGGAAATACATAAATGCTATTTTGAGCCAAGCCCGGAGAATTGGATAGGTAGTCAAGCTGTGTATGGCAATATTTTGGTCCAAAAATAGTGACTACTAAGAAACATCTTATATGCTTATTATGGCTTGTTAACATATTCTAGAAACAATTCCAAGTGGAATATTCTAAACCTACTTTGAGAACAGACAGGAAGGACATCCCGAAATCTACCTGAAGGGCAATATTATTTTATGCAGTTATATTAGAAATTATGTTTAAAATCAGTTTGTATGTGTATAGTTACCTTCAAAAGAAACTAATTTTAATACTAGCCTCAAACATATCAGCTTAGCATAAAATATATATATTTAAAACTGTATCTTTGAAGTAAGATAGTTATTACAGACATTTCTCCTAAGTGCTCAGAACATAATAGGCACTTGATAAATGCTATTGGATAACTGAGTTGCAGTCAATCTTAAGTAAGTAATAGATTGAAGAACACTTGCTTGAAAATAGAAATTTATTATGATTTTATGATTATTACCTGGTAGCAAATGTAATCTTCCTATTGACTTAAAGTGTTGGGAAATTCAGCTTATGGGGAAGTAGCCTACTTAAATGTGTCATAATAGACCCTATATTTTTCATTAGGCCCGCTACTGTCATATTCAAAGATATACTCCTACATGAGAAACTTCATAATATAAAATAATTACCTAGGTTTTTAGAAGCAATATAGATTACATAGATCCACAATTGCATATCTGAGCATGGACTTGGCCCACACATTAGTAGCAACAACAAAAACGTTATAGATTATATAGCCATCGTAGTTGGCACAGCCCTTCACAAGTTAAGTAGTTTGCTCTGCCGTGTAAATGTCTTAATTACCGAAGTAAGTAATTAGAAAACCATAAAGTTATTTAGAACTTTAGATGTTCACTTAGGAGTCATATAAGTAGTATTTATGAAAATTACCCCGGAGGAGCAGTAGTGTAGTTTTCGTAACAAAATAGTTGAATTTGATTTTAACTACACTTAAAAGAAGGGAAATCAGTCCACAAAGAAAGTTAGTATCAGTGAGTATGCCTCCCAGATGTGGAGTTACTCTTCTTTTTAACTTAAATATATGACAATAACAGGCAAATATAAAATAGTGAAGGATGATCAGATATTTTGAAAGTATAACTGACATAGGATCTTAGTGTATTATGTTTATATTAATTTGATGAATATTTATTGTACCCCAGTGTAAGATGTTTCCATAACAGATTGTTTGCCTTTGGCCTGTTGCATTTTCCTACTTTGTTTTTCCAAAAAAAAGTTATTTTAACTTTCCTATTTATATTGTAATTTAACACACACACGCATACACACATGCACATATATATAACACAGCACGTCACTCTGGGCATAGATGTATTTTTAATCACGAGGACCCTAAGTTTGTGCCTTGCCTACACATTACTTCTCTTAATATGGTAGAAGTCTATGTAGAGTTGGAAACTCTACTAAATTGAACATTTCTGAAAAACTTCATCTTACTCTGACATTTAGCAAGGAAGATGTTTAGCACATGCTTATTTATTGACCTGATCTGGCCTGGAAGATAAGCACCCTCTCTCTGCGTTCTCTCTACTTGTACAACTTTAGAAAAAAGCATTTATTCTTCTTGAGTCTTTTTCTCCATTTGATTAATGAACAATTTATGGATTTTCTGTATTTGCTATGAGCAGCCCTATTTTGCAATTGTATACTGTCTCTGCTAAAATTGACATCAAGAATCTCTGTGTTTTCCAATTATTCACCCCAAAGCTAGTTTCTTCTCAACACATACTACACACACATATAGACACATTTATATTTTGGCATTCTTCCTTTCATGTTAGAAAATATTATAAAAATACTCTCTTGCCCCTTTTTAAAACCTGTTTAATTATTTTTTTAAGTTTACCAGTTAAATTGTCACTGAATGAGATTTCACGTATGAAGTCCAAACACATTGCCTTGCACAAAAATTCCATAAGCTGCGATTATGATTACTATTCTTAGCACTCTCCCATTTTAGGAAAAAATTAAATAATCCAGAGGAAATGAAGAGTCACAAATTTATAACTTTACTCTCTTCCTCTATATGTATATAATAAAGTAATATTCATGTTTAGAAAGGCAAATATCTGCTCAGTTACTTCTCAACAGCCATTTCAGGTGGTGAGAACTACTCAAGGAAGAAATATGAAGATTTACTGTCAATCCTGATGACTTGAAATACCTGAGCTACATCAAGACTTTTACACCAAAGCAGAATAGAAGGAGGAAATACATAATAACTGCTTTTAAGAAATAGCCAATTGATTAAGCATTTATTTTGCAGACTCTATTTTATCGCAATAGTAGTTTTTACCTGAATTAGGTTAGTGTGTGGTTCTAAATCTGGACACTTTCTTCTGTTGCACTAGTATCTTTGCTTATCTTGTACCTGTATTACATTGTTTTAATCACTTTAGCCTCATCATTTTTCTTTTCTTAATACAGTTTGATTACACAAAGTGTAAAGAATTATCATCATTATGTTATCATTATTTCTCAGGTACATATGGATGCATTTTCTTATTTAATGATGATATCATGCAAGGTACCGGTTCCCCAGGGAAGACCAAATAGCTTTGAAAGCCTTGTCTCAGGAGTCATTTGTAGAATCATTGAAGGCAGCCTGATGATAAATCTCACATGTACAAAGAAATAGTAGTCTAGGCCAAAGTTTTCCTTATTGGCTCAGAGAATGCGAGATAATTAAAAGCAGGTCTGGAATTGAACTAAGAGGCTATGTTTCCTGGCCAATGATGTTACCCAACAAATAATCATGTATGCAAATTACATACAAAAATTTAATTTATCTTTTATAATTAAGTTGTTATTTCAATTGTAAATAGAAGTCAGGAACATCTAGAGTCCTTTCACACTGAAATGATAACTCTGCTGATATGTTCATAATAATAGTTCTTTCATCTCTGTAACACAATGGATGTAGAAAGCCAAAAAAAAAAAAAGAGGGATAAAAAATGATGCAATGGGTTTGAAGCATCACTCCTTCAGTCTTGTAGGTAGGAATGCCCAGCTATTGGTGAAAATGCTATATATAGTATATATAGCTTATATATTATATATGACATATATATATGTGTGTGAAAGGATTTTGAAAGTATATAATACACACACACATGATTAACAGCATACTATTCTTTTCCTTTCTCACTTTGTAATCTCTGTTCCAATATGTCAAGGTGTTTAGCTCAATGTGAAACAGATATTAATTAACCAGACAGACCTGAGCCACAACAATGCAAAACTATAGAACTGTACTTCTCAACATGTGTATATTGAGTCTTGACTCAGCACCCCACTGAGTTATTGAGAGGGACTGAAAAGAAGCATATGAGATTGTCCTAGTCATTTCAAGAGATGGGACTAAACATTCTCACTGTGCAATATGAAGATCTTTAATATGTTCCTTGAATATCAGCTTCTCCATTGTCACTAATGTTGCCAAACCTTCATTTGTAAATTCTTCGTTTTTAATTTTAAAAGGTAAGTAGTATGCCTCTCTTCTTGCAAACTTTGCCTGACTCACTTTAGTTCTCTTTCCTTCAGAAAATATCCTCTGAGCTCTTCTCAGGGTTGGTTGTTCATCTCTACTATATCCTTATACTTCTCCTAGTGTGGCCCTTATGCTGCTTTAATGTAATTGCTTAGTTGTTTGCATCCTTAAGCTAAACTGTAAATTATATAATGAAAAATATATGTACATAATGGGAAAATGATGAATAAATGAATGATAGTTGACTTTCAAATTCCTGTTGTTTGAAATGTGCATATTAATTTCCAGGCATGTTACTGAAAATCCAATACTTTCTAGTTCAGAAATTGAGAACTGAGCTACAATATAATCAAAAGATTTTACTTAAATAATCAAGTCACTGTCTTGCTATATGAAGCAAATAAAATGTGTAGCTGTTAACATTTGTTACATACTGCTATGCCTGGCAGCACGCTAAGCAGTTTACTTCGTTATCAAATTTACTTCTCACAGCAACTTCATGATGTTGACATTGTTCCCATATTATACCTGGGGCCAATTGATTTTATCAAGCATAAGTAGCCAAAGGTCATATAGCTATTAAATGTTGGGGTCAGGTGCTAAATTTAAGCAATCTACCAGTCCCAGCTCTTATCTTCCATGCAATATACTTCTTGTCACTATGCTACCTGCACTAATTATTAACCTATATCCCAGCTTCAAAATACCTTTCTCTCCTCAGCTGGCTTTGAAATTCTAAGGCTGGAAAGCCACATTTCTGCTTTTCTAGCTGGATCTATGCTAGGCTCTGCCAAGAGGGGATGCAAGAGGGTGACTGCAAGGCAGGAGGTGGAAGACAGGAGACTTTCCAGGCTGCTTCCCGTGGGTTTCCTGTATTCTTCTTATCTGGTCGTGCTCCCACTGGGCATATATTAGCTGGGCATAGTTCCCCACTGAAGCAGCAGAAGTCCTTTTTGTAATTGCATAAGAATGTAGTTTGTGGTTTTCCAACACTTGCAGAATCAGCTTTATCAAGCTCCTCTCCTCAGAGAGCCAGGTCCCACTCCCGCAGGAACCCTCCCCTAAGGTCCTCAATGTCAATGAATCACTGTTTGTTCTGACCTAATTAACAACTTCATGCATAGGAGCAGTCTCTTCTGAGTGGACATTGACCCACACCAGGTCATACATACAGCTATTAAGTGATATATTCAGAAACTAAAGTTGGGCCAGTCTCCCAACCACAGCTGTTATCTATTGTGAAAGATTCTTATCACTGTGCTAACATATGTGATATTCCACTTGTTTGTCATCATTTTCTAAATAAATAATAGTAGGAGGTAGAACAGCAAAGAAATAAATTAACAAAAACAAGTTTAAAGCTTAGAAACTCTCATATTTAAATCTATTGTTCATACAATCACATGGATTTCTTTAAACAGTATTTCCAATTCTAATATAGCCATATAGATAGATATAGAACTGGATATATGCCTATAACATAGCTAATACATAGCCATATATAAATAGATTAGCTAGATATATAGTGACTATATTATTAAAACATATAAAATGTAGCCAATATATCTCTCTATATACTCATATAGAGGGAGAGAAACAGATATCCACCTAGCTAGCAACTAATTTGGGCTTTCAGGTGTCTAAAGTGGTAGTCAGAAACATAACTTTTCACATCTACAATGGATAATTAGAATGTCTATACTTTTTTCTATCCAGAATAAATGCCATAAAGAAATTTGTGAGTTTTCTGTTTTCAGGTTTAAAACTACTAGATTGTTGTTTTTGCTGCTACTGCTCCTATTATTTTCCACACCACTGCAATTGTAAATATAAGTGAATTTTTTTTTTAAGTTCTTATTTGGAGAATTTTAACAAGTGATAGATATGACTTTCATTTGATCAGCAAACATTTTAATCACTTATATGCTAGGTACTGTGCCAAGTGCTAGTTTTATAATGCAAATAAGACAGAATATGCAGTTCCTGCCCTGCTGTTATGGTCTAACTGGGTTAAATATTTAAAACGTGAGTACTTTATAGAGTATTTAATGTTTATGTATTAGCTTTTGGGGTTATTTTTTGGAGGAAGAGTGAGAATAAGAAAGGACCTCTTAATATGCAAGATAGTGTGAAAGGAAAATAAACCTTGGAACCCCAAAATCACTGAGCTAAAGGGAAAAGTCAAGCTGGCAACTGCTTAGGGCAAACCTGCCTCACATTCTATTCAAAGTTAGCCCTCTGCTCACTGAGATAAATGCATATCTGATTGCCTCCTTTGAAAAGGCTAATTAGAAACTCAAAAGAATGCAGCCCTTTGTCTCTTATCTACCTATGACCTGGAAGTCCCCTCCCTACTTTGAGTTGTCCTGCCTTTGATTCCAGTTGCCTTGCCTTTTCGACTACTGATTGATGTCTCATGTTTCCTTAAAATGTATAAAACCAAGCTGTGCCCCAGCCACCTTGGGCACATGTTGTCAGGACCTCCTGAGGCTGTGGCACAGGCATGCATCCTTAACCATGGCAAAATAAACTTTCTGAATTGACTGGGACCTGTCTCAGATATTCAGGGTTCATTTGGTAACTATGAAGAGATTCTGAGTGGAGATGCCCCTGACCTTTGAAAAATCTATGGGTGCCTGGTACCATCTTGAGCTAACCTTATGGCTCAAACCAACAGGACAATTTGCCGAGGCCTGGAAGCACCCCCTCCAGAGAATCCCTATTCTCCCAAAATTTGGTTGAGATCTAATGTTTATTTTGCTGTACAACTCTTTTTTGTTTGTTTGTTTTTTGAGTTTTACTTGTTTCCAACAAGGAAGGCAAGTTTTCCTCCCTCCATTGATACAGAAGGCAGGGCTCCTTGCCAAACTCCACCCTCAAACCTGGAACCTCAGCCCTAAGTGAAAACAGCTGACCCTGATACAGAAGGGCTGGGCTCCTGGCTACACTCCACGCTCAAGCCTGGGACCTAGGCCTTAAGTGAAAGCAACTGACCCCATTTTTCCAAATGATTGCCTTTTTGACCCACCCTGCCCCCTATCCTGTGCCCATAAAAACCAGCCCAGCTGGCAGAAGAAAGCTACAGCAACACAAGCAGCTGAGCCTCAGGGATACAAACTGCTGAATGTCGGGGATAAAAGTGACTGAGCAGTGAGCAGAGAGGTAACTGAACATTGGAGACTATGGATAAGGATGGCTAACTTCAGATGGTGCAGTTTTGGAGGGGAGCCTGGCCAGAGATGGCTGGGCTTCAGGGAAAAATTACCTTCTTCCTGCACCATCTCCTAAGGCTAATGAGAAGCTCAAAAGAATGCAGCTATTTGTCTCTCAAGTACCTGTGACTTGGAAGCCCCCTTCCCAGTTCCAGCTGTCCCATTTTACATATGTTGACTGATGCCACGTCTCCCTAAAATGTATAAAACCAAGCCTCTTGAGGCTGTGTCACGGGCATGCGTCTTCAACCTTGGAAAAATAAACTTTCTAAATTAACTGAGACCTGTCTCACATTTTCAGGGTTTACAAATTTACTGTTAGCTAAATCTTCTGAGTTATTGGCAAAAATACCTATGTATTTAACTTTGAGGGTCTTACTTAGGTTTAGGTAAGCACCTGATGTTCACAGACTACTAAAAATGTGTTTAACAAGGAGGTAACTAACTTTAAATGATAGTGTCTAATATCTCAGTTTACGGAAGTAATCTAGATAAACTGATAAAAGTAAAAGAATTGAGTACAGTGAATGGGATAACACTTTAGGTAAACTTTTTATTTAAATTAAAATCTTAAAACATTTTGATGCTCATTTAATATCTGCATCATTTCCAGTTAAAGGGTTATGATATGGGGAACCATGTTTCTAAAATTGTGGATTTATTCTTATCTATTAATGCCCATATCTGATGGTTCAGGATTTCTTGCTTTTTAGGGTTGCACTAAAATTTTAGTTTACTAAGGAAATGAATTCTACTTAATACATAATTCTGTATATCAAATGTGTCAGAAAAGGTTATGTTATTAGTGAGGAAAAGAATAATTTTGTCTAATTCAAAAGTTACCTAATAGTTCAAATTACCGATTTGAAAAGGTTGTTTATGAAACCATGTAGTAACAAACCAGAAGGTGGGGAGAAAGATGTGGGAAATGTTTAGATTATAAAATACTCTTTAAAACCCAGTAGAGAATTGGAGACATTTGGCTAATTAACATTTTCATAGTTAAAGCTCTGAGTCTTGATTAAAGTAAAATAAGAAGTATTGTTAAAAAAAAAAAGCATCAGCAGTTTGGCAATTCTTTTTGTAGCAATTCAAATTTCATATACATGCTTGCGTTGCTTTGCACTATGTTTACTGTTTTGCGTGGATAGTGCCGGCACTGGAGTACTTATTGGTCATGTACCTAAAATGAATTTCTTAATTGCACAGGATTGTATGATATTGGTAAACTTGAGGATATTGAATTGTGTATTAGGAATAAAATATTCATTATGTGGGTTTTTAAGGGCCCTGGATAACACTATAGCCTCCAGGGTAGATTGAGTAGGAAAAATTTAGGGTCGGTTTCCTATTTGTTTTGGCTACCAGTTTTCATTCATTTGCTGTTTATTCTTTGGCTTTGCCTATGTATGCAGATATAAAACCATATATATATGGTTTTAGGCTTCCTGACACTTTCTGTATAAAACCATATATATATGGTTTTATATCTGTGTATGTGTGTGTATGTGTGTATATATATATATATATATATATTTAGTTTCCAGTGGAAGGCCTTTATTTGGTTCTTTAATAGATATTTTGTTTCCTATGCATTTCTAGCAAGTCATCATTTGTTCCACTTATCTGGAATTCCTAGGCTACCTTCATCAGGCCCCCTAGGTATTGATGGAACACACCAGCTTTTTAACCTTAAACTAACTTTTTGGATTTTAGGCTTCCTGATACTTTAAGGGTGTTGAGTATACTCTTGTAAACATAATTTGAGTCATATTTCTCTCTAATTTCTCCAAAATTTGTAAACTATTTGTGAATATTCTTAATTCATGGCAATGTATTTGTTTGCATATAGTTTAGCAGGGTTGCTAAGGCTGCTCAGGGAGAGAGAACTCAGAAACCTGGCATGCTGGCAAAAGGGTAAAAATTTCTTACCAGTCAGACTCTGGCCTCTCTCTCTCTGTGCAAACTGGATAAATAAATAATGAAAGTTACTGTTAGTGTTTATCTCCTCTGTATAATTTTGATTAATTTAAAAAAAATTCTGAGGCTAATGTTAAACTGTAGTGAATATGTTGTGTTTTGTACGTCTTTCTATATTGCTCTGTTATAAAAAGGGACATCTTAGAATAAAATGCATGCCTATGACCTCATCGGCCCTCTGTTCAAGATGGCCCAGCAAACTGGCCCACCACATTCTTGGGAGATTGACCTTGTAACCATGTGGCTGTGCTTTCTCTTTTTACAATGGTAACCGGGTTAGGGTTCAATTTCTGACTTAGGGAACAATTCCTTTATCTTCTGTCTATATTTAAATGTGTTATATGTGTAATATGAAAGAACTATAATTAATTGGTTTAATAATAAGAGCTTCAATCAAATATTTTGTCCGAAAAGTGTAATGCCTTTTATTTAGTTCCTGTGACTTAAGTAATCTTTAAAAAAGTTTTAAAGATTATTGGTAAAATAAAAATCTTCAAAAATGTAAACATTTCATTTAAATATGCAGATCAGATATTAGGTTTGCTAAATGCTTTAAGGTCATAAACTACTTCTTTGACTTTTAAAAAATTGTTCAATGTATTTTGGAGCATTTGATTTTAAATAAAGCCTGGGGACATAGGAAATTAGCCATGCCCCCTAGCTATGCAGAGAAGGTTACCAAAAAAAAGAGGCTTTATATAAGAAAGGATCTTGTATGGTAAATTTTTGTCTTAAAGTAAAATAACTGGTTGTTTAAAAGAGGGATGTTTAGGACAAGTCAGAAAGTCCAAGCATGTCATGGATAGTCTATGTAAGTTGTGAAAGAATTTATGAAAGAGAGTTTATGCAAGAAATGTACAATTTAAAGGTCATTTGGCCTCCTGAATGCTCAAAAATGTCACTATGACTCTTAACTGTACAACATGCCTGCTTTACAGCTAGGTAAAGCCTGGGACACTTGGAGGTAGACACTGGAAAGAGTCAGAACTTATCTGCACTTCTGTCTGAGTCCTAGGCTCCACAACTAATACATACTTCAAGTCCCAAACTTAACAAGGTTTTGGCCAAAAGTAAAAGTCGCTAAGCGTTAACATTGTTATTGAGACTACTGAAGAAACAGTTTTACATGCAAGGTATGTAAAAAAAGTGAAATGTGATTTAGTAAAAGATTATAAGAAGGCATGGGAATGTGGATTTTTTTTGTTGTTGTTTTTGCCTAAAGGGTTAAAGGATTGTTTTAAGTTAGGATAAAGCTAAAGGTTTGAACAAGTTGTGGAAGGGTTGTAAAAAAAAATTAATCTTGTAAAACACTATGTGTATGAACATACTGACTAAATTTAAAGGGTCATTTTCTGGTTTCTGCATAAATTGAACATTGAAATAAAAGCACAAACAGGGTTTTCTTAAAGCACTGATCTTTAACAAAAATTTGTAAAGGCTTATAAAAGGTTTATGAGAATCTCACCTTATGATGATACTGATTAAAATTGGAAAGATTTGTCTATAGGGTTATTAAAAATTGGAGCTGACATTAATGGTACACTAATGCAAGGGTAAAATTTGGCTTTCTCTCTTGAACAAGATTTTCATGTAATATTAAAAGATAATGAAATATTTTTGTTTGGCTTTTGAATAAAATACCAAAAAATTAAATAAAAGGAAAGGCAAGAGACCAATTATTTGGAAAGCTAGGTCTTCTTCCCCTATCAATGAGTAAAGGTTTTTGCCTTTTAAATTTTTGAGTCATCATTTTGGCTAAATGAATGTCTTATGGTAACCTGGAATTCTATTTCATAATATCAATGTTTTAAACGTTTAACATATTTGATAGGCCTCCCAAAATCAAATTTCATCTTCAAAATAGCCTTTTCTGACTTCTAACTTTGAGATGCTGCAGAAGGCTCTTGAAATATCCAAAAGAGAGGTAAATAGGATTACTTGACATGTTATAAGGGAAGCATTGTCCAAAAAAAAGTTTAATCTTCATTTTATATTTTAGTCAATGATATTAATATATGTTACAAAATCATAAGGATTTCTTAAATTCTAATATGTCTGAGTATATGCTATCAATTATAATTATGGTTATTATATTAAGTTATTGTAAACTACAGAAATAACCAATTTCCTTGTATAAAGCTACTAATCCAAGTAGAACAAACAATTAATTGAATACCAAGAAAATATGTCATCAGATTTTCATGTTTTACCAGCAGATATGGAAATTGTTTAGATATACAATTTGAACTCCATGGTCTAGGTCAAATTACCTTGACAATCCATCAGTTATCAGTGCTATGCACCTAACTTGGTAAAACAACTGGTATTCAGGAGGATATAAGTCTAATGTTATTTAAACATGGACTCATGGAGAACCAGGATGATCACCTTGTCCTTCCTGAGTCCTTAAAGCTTTTGTTATTAAAAGTTCTACATTCCATGATTCATCATGGAAAAAATAAAATCCAAATTGAATATATTTTTGTGGTTACTTATCATTTGTTAAAATAGTTGATAACCAATGTTTGGTCTCATCTTCCTGGGAAAACAATTAAAGCTTCAGGTACATTTGGTCACCTGATGGATGATTTAAACATTTTATATACGGATTTCATTCAATTGACATTTTCAGTGCATGTTTTCTTGTTGTATAAAAGCTTTCCCATGCAAGAAGGCTGATGTTGGCTGGGCATGGTGGCTCACGCCTGTAATCCTAGCACTTCGGGAGGCTGAGGCAGGAGGATCACAAGGTCAGGAGATCAAGACCATCCTGGCTAACATGGTGAAACCCCATCTCTACTAAAAATACAAAAAATTAGCTGGGTCTCCTGGCACACATCTATAGTTCCAGCTACTGGGGAGGCTGAGGGAGGAGAATTGCTTGAACCCAGGAGGTGGAGGTTGCAGTGTGAGCCAAGACCGCACCATTGCACTCCAGCCTGGGAGACAGAGTGAGACTTCATCTAAAAAAAAAAAAAAAAAAAAAAGACTGATGTTATAACAGTAAATTATTATGCTACAATGTATTTTTGTCAAATAAAGAAGCCTCTTATGACTGAGGACAATCAACCCCTTCACAATCTAGAACCCAAAGATTATATCTTCTGAGAACATCAGAGAAAGACTGTCCTTGATATCCACAATACGGCAAAACTTCAGGACCTTAAACCTTGGGTTCATAATCTCACAATTGAGCAGTGTCCCATCACACTCTTGGGACTGTACACCCCCTGAAACCCTTAAGGTAAAGCTAATCAGGAAAGTTACTCCCCAGAAAAGATGGCATCCTTGATCTGAACAGCTTTTCCCAAGATCATGGGTCAAGACTTCTCTACTATTAAGAGACTTATCTTTGAATTTTTTTTCCTTGCTTATGCCTCTATGAACAATAGAAGTGGAAAAACGTGTCTGTTATGTGGGCTTATGGGGTAGACTTTTATTTGTGAAGGAGTTTTCAGCCAGCCTATATATGGATAACCTTATATATTATAATCAATCAGAAACAGAACATTGGTTCACTCCTCTAAACTCATATTATGGGTTAAAGAGCACATTGCCAAGAGGCCTTCACTCTTCTAGAAGGGCATCATTTGTTAGGTCCTTTTTCCATAGTTTGGAATAAAAGAAGCAATGATTAGAAATCTATCCTTTGTGATAGGCTTTATAGAAGATTCTACTGTAAAAGCTACAGTTACACAACAGGTTTTAAATTCTCTTGTGAAGGTTATGATAGAATTGTCTGAACAGAGAGGTATCTGTGCAGCTGCTGGTACTCATGGCGTATGGAGAAAACATTAGATATTACAGAGATTCAGTCATAGTGTACAAAGTAAATGACTTTGTAACTTTATTTTATTCTCTTCATTTACATAGATTGTACAACAAATAATGAATGGAAAACTCTAAAGGGTATTTAAACCCCAGAAAACGGATTAATGAAGCCACTGCTTAGTTAAGTGAGTAGACTCTTTATTTAGCTCATTCTTTGATCTATTTGATTTTAGGAGGTTTGGTTTATAGAGACCCTGGGTAAGAAGCATACTCCAAACTCTTGGTATTATCCTAGTGATAATCATAATAATAGTCTCACTGGTGCACTGTATTCTCTCAAAGATTTTAAATGTTTGCATACAATGGCCTCTAGAATGTCAAATGGTCTCTCTTTAACTAGAATGACAAGAGCTGAAAGAAATGTGTGACCATGAGGACGCTATAATCTATGAATGACATGCTGAGACCAGAGGCCCTAAGTTTTGGTCACACTCTCACCTAAGTGAGAACGTGACCAAAAAGGGGAAATTTTTTAAAACAATTATGAGAGGTCATTGTTTTGGGCTGAGATCATGCGCTAGGCCCCAACACACCAAACCTAAACCAAAATGGAGTTGTTCATGCTAAGACTTTAAGGAAAGACATAGATCCTAGAACAGACCACAGACTAGATTTTGCTTTTCTCCTGCAAATCTCTATAACAAACATTCCTGACAGCATAGGTATCCACTCCCTTAAGTCTCCATTAAATTTTTTAACCAAATTCAATTCCTCTCACCTAGAGACCATCAAGCTTCAGATGATCATGCAACAAGTGTTCCAGCCAGTTCCGGGTGAAGTCACCACCTGTGGCCATCAAGGAACTACCCTGACTCCACTAGACAGGGCAGGGCAAGAGTTTCATGATCCCCAATAGGTAGGTACTATACCCCAAGCCAGCATGAAGCTGTTACAGAAGGAAGACCATCAGTTTTTCCATCTTCCATAAAGATTTATGGGGATCACATCTCTCAGGGGGAAAAAGAGGCAGGAGATTAGGGTCTGGAGGCAGAGAACATAAGGTCAATTCACAATGACTTCCTAAAACTGATTTAAATGGAAACAGTTTTGATTTACATGGAAACCCTTCAGCTAAGACAGGAAATACCTTCTTCATTTACATAGGGCATACACCAAGTAAATGACTTTGTAATTTTACTTCATCCTCTTCATTTACATAGGTTGTACAACAAGTAAACAATGGAAAATTCTAGAGGACATTTAAACCCCAGAAAATTCTGTAATGGGTCTCTTGAGCCCCTGTGCTTAGGCCTGCTCCCACCCTGTGGAATGTACTTTTTTTTTTCTTTTCTTTTTTTTTTTTTTTTTTGAGACAGAGTCTCGCTCTGTCACCCAGGCTGGAGTGCAGTGGCACAATCTCGGCTCACTGACTGCAAGCTCTGCCTCCCAGGTTCACAGCATTCTCCTGCCTCAACCTCCTGAGTAGCTGGGACTACAGGCGCCTGCCGCCACGCCTGGCTAATTTTTTGTATTTTTAGTAGAGATGGGGTTTCACCATGGTCTCAATCTCCTGACCTCGTGATCCGCCCGCCTGAGACTCCCAAAGTGCTGGGATTACAGTCGTGAGCCACTGCGCCCAGCCTCTTTGTTTTCAGTAAATCTCTGCTGTTGTTGCTTCATGCTTTCCTTGCTTTGTTTGTACTTTTTGTCCAGTTCCTTGTTCAAGAAATCTCTGCTGTTTTTGCTTCATGCTTTCCTTGCTTTATGCTTTCCTTGCTTTGTTTGTGCATTTTGTCCACTTCCTTGTTCAAGATGCCAAGAACCTGGACACCTTCAACTAGTAACACCAGCACACTTCAATGCACTTCACAAAAGCCCTAGGCCACAGCTCAGTTCTTTCTCTTAAGAAAAGAAAGAAAGAAAAAGTGGGAAACAAATGATCTAAGAATGATAATGAGAATGACCCCTTTTCACCATTCCATTAGTTTTATGGCACCTCTACTTGCTAGAGTCAGTGTAAAATGGAAATATTAAGGTCTTTGTGCACATTTACTTCAAGAAAAAAGAGCACTGAAGTCAACCTGTACACTGTAGAGTTCCTAAGCTCTCTTTTTCTCTATTTTCTTTTCTGCCTACTTTAAAGCTGCTGTTACTTTGCTACTGAGATAAAAATTACTATTGGGACCCAACTTTTTTTTTTTTTTCTTGCAAGCTGATAAATTTGTATTAATATCTCATGGCTAGATTTCTGAAATAAAAGTCATAAGATCTTTCTGTGTGAGTGTGTGTGTGTATATATATCTTTAAAATGACTTTATATTTTTTTAAGACAGGGTCTCACTCTGTTGCCCAGACTGGAGTGCAGTGGCATGGTCTCGGCTCACCACAACCTCTGCCTCCCAGGCTCAAGCAATTCTCCCATCTCAGCCTCCTGAGTAGCTGGTATTACAGGCTTGCACCACTACTGCCCAGCTAATTTTTGTATTTTTAGTGGAGATAAGGTTTCACCATGCTGGCCAGACTTGTCTTGAACTGCTGACCTCAGATGATCCACCTGCCTCAGCATCCCAAAGTGCTGTGATTATAGGCATGAGCCACTGCGCCTGGCTGATTTACTTAACTTTATGTTTAACTGGCAATTAAATCAGTTCTAATTTCCCTCTAGCACATTTTTCTTCCTGTAGTTTGATATGTAAATTTTCCTATCTGATTTTTCACCTGAGAGTTGCCTCCTTCAATATACAAATTCAGGGTTATTTAGCTGTCAATTGCCTAGGGTAATGAAACAGGTTATCAAGAATTTGAAAGTCTACAATAAAAAAAGGTCTTATGAATCTTTAAGATGTTCTTCTATCACCATGTCTAATACATCTATGTATCTATGTATTGTGTGCACAATGCTTCACTACTGAAAATATATTAAAAAGCTCTAATTAATTGGCTTAAGAAAAAGTACTTAAATACTTTATCGGGAACAGAGAAAAGACTAGTCAAATGCTTTTTCAAGCTTGTATGACTGAATTGAAATCTTTAATAAATAAGCTAGCTTGAAAATTATTTGTGAAGTAATATTAGAAGTGTCTTAAAAATTGCCAGCATACATTTTATTTGCATTTATTGATAAAGTGATTTCATACTTATCTCTGCCAAATACTACATTTTACAATAGTGATTTTATCTCTATGAGCAATTTGAGAAGATTTGGAGTCTTGAAGTCTCCAGCTGCATGAGTCCTGGACCATAATTTCTAATCTCATGGCTTTAGGCAGTTTAGCCCCCAGGCAGGTAGGGGGTTTGTTTTGGGAAAGAACTGTTATCATCTTTGTTTCAAAGCTAACTATAAACTAGTTCCTCCCAAAGTTAGTTTGGCCTACACCCAGGAATGAACAAGGACAGCTTAGAGGTTGGAAGCAAGATGGAGTCAGTTAGGTGAGATCTCTTTCACTGTATCTGTTATAATTTTACAATGGTGGTGTCATAACTTTAAATGATGACTATCTCAGTTTTCATAAATAAGTAAACTATTAAAATACAATAAGTAAATGTAATTGGAAAGATAACTGTAGACAAACTTGCCATAATTTATAATCTAAAGTTAAATTAAATAATTGATATTTCATTAATTGGGTATTTTCCAATAACATATTGTAGGAAAACATTCTTTTTCTAAAAAAAAGTGTGTCCATTTTTAAAAGTTGAATAATTTTTGTTAAATTCAAAGATTACTTAAAGGTTATGTATAAAACAAGGTAAAAGGAACCAGGAAATAAGAGATATAAAGAAAGTTATAGAAATAAAGAGGTATTTTTTTGGTAAGAAAGCTTAAAGAAAATTAATTTTATATGAGAAATAATCTTGTATGCTAAATTTTACCCTAGAATAAAATGATTGTTTGTGGAAGAAAGAGGGATCTTCAACACAAACAAGGAAGTCCAGGCAGGTCATGAATGGTCTGTGTGAGTCTTAATGAGAAGATTTATGAAAAAAACTTTTATATGATCAAGTTGTCTATAATTAAAGGGAAATTATAATATTTCTAGAGATTTAGTTTTGATTTAAAAACCTTATACACTAAAGAATTGGTTCAAACTACAAAATTTTCTTAAGGTATTGCTTTATTCTTAATAAATTATAAGACATTATAATTTTTTTTACAATAAGTTCAACTTTTATTGTTTCTTGCTGTTTTTAGCTTTCTCTCCCCTTTTAAAAGGGCTGAAACAATAACTCTATACTTCAACTCATTTTCAGCTCTGGTAAGTGTTTTTTTGTTTCCTTCAGGTTCTAACTGTTTTGATGCTATCAAAGAAAAAAAAAAGTTTTATCTTGAAAGTCTAAAGGAAATGTTTCCTTCCAACATAATATTCCTCTTAGAGAATAGCAGTCGCACTGCAGAAGGTCTCTTCTTTGCCTTTGGGTAACTGGCCTAATAAACACATACGCTTTATTGAAATAATTTCTATGTCATTAATACTAAGTTTGATGGGCTTAGAAAAGAACAGATTAAAAAATGTTAATTAAAGTTATTACATTCATGTAACTTTTTGTATGTGCTTTTAAAGTCCTTGTACCATTAAGATACAGGGCTTTGACTCCTGGGTCTAAAAAGGACACCAAGTCCTGCTAAATCTTAACATTGACAGCAGTTAAAGCTTTATCTTCAGACTTGGTAAATGATGCCAATAAAAATAAACTGTGTGAGACACAGGACCAGAAATTAAAGCTATTCAACTCCTCAAGTCCCAGGGACTCTCACAAAAGGGATGGGCACATGAAATTTTAAGGACCAATTATGAGAGATAAGTTTAGTTTCTCTATAAATTAACCATTAATGTCAAAAACACACTGATGCAACACCAGCATATGGGCCCCTATGTCAGATTAACAAGGTTTTCTTGAAGCATTAATCCTCTCTTTAATAAGGATTATAAAGGTTATAAAAGGTTTATAGAAATTACATCTTATGGTCAAAATGATTAAAATTTTATAGATTGTTTATAAAATTTTGAAAAACATTTAATTGGCCTCATGCTGTTTTTATTAGGGCTTAGTGTTTGGAAAATTAAATCTACTCTCTCAAAGAATAAAGGTTTTTGCCTTTTTTTTTCAAATCTTTGAGTTATCACTTTGGCAAAATGAGGAACTTGTTTTACAATGACCTGTGATCTTACTTTGTGATAATATCAAGCATCAAGCATTTTAAACCTTTAATATTTGAGAAACTTTCCAAAATCAAATGATAAATTATGTCTTTTTAAAGACATATCTCTTTAAGATATTAGGTTCCATAAAGTCCAAAAATTATATATTAGGATTATTTGGTATAAAAATCATACAGGAAGAATTTTAAATATGAAATGGTGTTTGGCTTTCTTTGGGCTGTATTTGTATAAATAGATTATTGGTATATGTTCCCAAGTTATGGGAAAATCCTTTAATTCTGATATGACTTAGTGTACACCATCAGTAATAATAATAATTGCTATGTTAAATTATTGTGTGCCACAGAGGTAACAAATTTCCTTGTCAGTTGTGTCCTTGACTGTGGCTGCCCTAAAACTTTTTGTCATTCACTGACAACTGTTGTTTTGTTTTGGTTCTCTTTAGAAGGTGATTTTATAATCTGCTATAAAACCCTAAGAGGTGTTCTTGAATGCAGTGTTCTGATAACTTTGGAAATTTTGACATTAGAATAGAAGAAAACCTTTCTGGACTCTCATGGAGAGCTGAAATGTTCATGAATATCAAGCAGAACAGGAGTTAACTGCATGAACTGAACTAATGGAAGACTGAAGTAGTCTTTTGACTTTTTTACTTAAATTGTTGCTGATCATTTGCTTTGTTTTGCAGAGTCAAGAAAACTTTTCTTTTGAGCTGTTGACAGCTTGTAGCAACAATATTTGGAGCATATTTATTTCTCTCTACCTGATTTCTCCAGAATTTTGAAACTATTTGTGAGTATTCTTAACTTAATGGGAATATAGTTATTTGCATAAGTGCAATAAAAATGTCTTTTTTTGCAACAGGAAACCGTTGGAGAAACTGGTTACCTTACCAAGGCTTTGGCTGGGATGGTCAACAAACTTGACTGGAAATAAACTTGACTTACAGAGACAAGAAAAACCCCTTGGGAAAACTACCCTCATACCTTGTCTACACAGTCCCTGTACAGGGTTCCTGACCTGTGGTAAGTAAAGACTGTCACTTTCTGACAGGCCTGGGAGCCCCAAGTTATCATGGGACCTTAAGAGGAGAGGAATTTACCTAGCTCACAGGTATTTGATGGTACAAATCCACAAAATAAGTCTTGTCTGAGATTTCTTCTATGTAACAAAGTTTCATCAAAGCCAATTAAAAAGCCCATGTGAAAAATGATTATTCCTGCTGCACTTTATACAAATAATCAGGCCAAGTATTATAAAGCAAATTGGTCCTACCATGATCTGTCTTTAGGAAAAATGAGAAACTGGAGAGAGAAAAATTGTTTCAAAAACTATAGTCTACCTGTTGTTAGATTCTATTCTCACCTAATGTTTTTATAATTTTTTATCATTTTCAACAGTTCAGAGTGAATTCTAATTTTTCTTGGCTATAAGTCTCCAAAATAATGTTTTCAATTTTTTTCTTCTTTCTTTCTCCCCATTTTTCCTAATTTTGAATCACTGAACACTAAGCTGTGTTTTCTTGAAGCCCTGCAAACTGAAGCTAGACAACTTAAACTTCAGAAGAAATAACAGCAACCTATTTACATATATAAGCTACTTTCATACCTGACTGGTGATGTATGGACATCAGAGTAATATGGCCTATATCAGTTTTTCATGATTGTTGGTTTTTTATTGTTGTTTTTTCTCCCTACCTCTTCTTATTTTCTCTTCCTAGGACGTGAGACTTCACAACCTGCTAAAAATGAGCTTCCCTAATAATATGGGACCTACCTGTCTAGGAACAAACCATCCTAGCCATTAAAGATTAGATGAAACCTGAGACCAGAGATTCATTTTCTTCTAAAATACTTTCTCCGAAAGAGTCTTAAAAAGACAAGGGGAGAAATGTAAAAGGAAAATAAATCTTGGGACCCCCAACTCACTGAGCCAAAGGGAAAAGTCAAGCTGGGAACTGCTTAGGGCAAACCTGCCTCACATTCTATTCCAAGTAATCCCTCTGCTCACTGAGGGAAGTGCATATCTGATTGCCTCCTTTGGAAAGGCTAATTAGAAACTCAAAAGTGTGCAGCTGGTTGTCTCTTATCTTCCTATGATCTGAAAGTCCCCTCCCTAGTTCAAGTTGTCTCACCTTTGCTTCCAGTTGTCCCACCATTTTGGACTGAACCAGTGTTCATCTTTCATATATTGTTTGATCTCTCATGTCTTCCTAAAATGTATAAAACCAAGCTGTGTCCCAACCACCTTGAGCATATGTTATCAGGACCTCCAGAGTCTTTGTCACAGGCACATGTCCTTAACCTTGGCAAAATAAACTTTCTCCGTTGACTGGGAGCTGTCTCAGATATTTGGAGTTCACAATACAAATCAAAATTTTAAGATTTATTTTCTAGCAAATGGATTTATTATTTCAATCAAGTTTCTAACTTACACAAAAACCTCAAGAAGACCAAGGAGCTAAAAAGTGACTATGTGTCAATAGTCTACTTTCCTTAGTTTTTTATGCTATGCCCCTAAACTTAAATGTCTATAACATCACCTATATTTGTTGATAACAGGATGCAATTACACTGAGTTATGACTCATATCAACTTTTCTTATATATAGTTCTCATGTCCACACACTAAACACTTTGAAAGGCTTTCTTTAGTTTTGCTGTGAAGTGGCTTGGTTTCATGCTATGACTGGAAGGAAATGAGAGCAGGATATTATTTGCCCCTTGGGCTCCTACAATTCATTGTTTTCTCTTGCTTCTCATTCCACACAGTTTTTAAAGCTGTAGTTTGCAACTTTGGTGTACCCAGGAATCACACAGGAGGTTTCTTAGAATTGGAAATTTCTGAGCTCCACTTTCAGATAATTTGACTCATTAGGCCTGGGGTGCATTTCAAGAATCTGCATTTTTAAGATGAATTAAGGATAATAAATTTCTGATGCACCAGAATCATTGCTTGGAAGATTAACTAGATGCAGTAGAGTGAGTGTGAACCGGAAGATAGGTTTTATGAGGTCAGGATCTATTTATCTACATCCGGATTGGGTTGTAAAACTTTTAACAAACCTCCTGGGAAATGTTTATAATTTCCAGGAGTAGGGAACTAGAACCTACAAAGATGGGGAGATAAACAGAGGTGAATAAAAGATAGGGAGATAAAACAGAGGTGAATGAAAGGATTGAAAGATAACATTGAGGGCTTATCATAAAGACAACCAATCTAAATGCATGCTTTTTGTAAAGATTATTTAGAACCAAGGTACTAGTACATTTCGTTGAGTGTACCTTGAACTAAGAATTGGCAAAAAGGTTAGACTTAGGGGAAAAAAGAATCTGAGATGTCACTGAGTGTACAGTTGAAATGTTGATCTATGTGTTTTAGGCTTCATAGGGATAGAAAAGAAAAATAAGCTTGGGGGAAAAAAATGGTTGAAAGGCTTTTGGCCCTAAAAATAACGAGGGTTGAATTTACTGGGAGACTTGAAAGAGCAAGAGGTTATGGTTCAAAATTTCAGACATCAAGATTTCTGTAGTATGGTGGATTCTGAATTTATTTAGATGTGAATGCCATAAAAAATGACCTAGTTTTTTTGGCCTTATTTCCTTCAAATCCATGATTACTGCCAAGATGTACTTTCTAAAATAAAAGTCTGATTATACTTTTCTGTGGTGTCACTTTCCTGACTGTCTGCTGCCTAAGATATGTCAAAACCCTTACCATGGCATTTGGAGTCCTTCATTATTGCCTGCAAACATTATATACTTAACACTGTACTGCCTACACATCCTTGAAAATATTCACTCATGTTTCACCTTTGATTATGTAGTTACCTTTGCCAGGTCTATCTGGCAAAATGGGAAACCATTTTAGTTAGTTTTTAAACCTCTTCAGGAAGGTTTTAATAAAATACTCCTCCTTTCAATGTCCATTACACACATTAGTTTACTTTTTTCCTCCTCTTTTCCACTTTGATAACTTGTATGTGCTTTTGTCCTTGATCTTAATGGTACAGGGTAAGGGGCACAAACCAAATATAAGCAGAGGGCATGCATTTAACATAAATACCAAAATTAAATAGGATGAAAGACAATTAATGCTAAGGTGCTTGTATAGTAATGAAGTGTAATGCCATTAAAACTTTTTTAAGACGTTGTTGCCATAACAAAACAATCAAAACACATCCAAGGCACATGTGGTCCTCCTCTGCTACACAGGTCATAGCAAAACTAAAAATGAAAGGGCGGTGTCAAAGTATCAAATAAGATTCTATGGTGAAGGTGCGTGCATCAGAAAGACAATTTAAATGTGAGGTGGGGGACAATGGTATATGTAAACACTAGCGGGGCCAGATGAATTTAGTATTTTCGGATAACAGTGTCCGCTATGTATGTCTCTTATCCGAAGAAGACTAGTGACAAAAATTCATTACCCAGCTAGGAGCTGAAAATGCACTTTGAACTGAGATGTAAAGACCTATGGAGTCCAACTGTCACTTTGTGGCTCTCCCATGATACTGGCCTTCACAATGTTTGAAAAACTGGCCATGTCCTTTTCCCCAAAGTTATAAACCATCTTTTGTGACTTATTTCTCAGCTTATAAATTAGTTAAAATCAGCCTAAAAGAGAGACCTTTAAGAATTTGACAAGAGAAGCAAGTTCTCCAGAAGTCCTTTCAGCTGCATCAGTGAAAACTTTAATTATTATCTATATTCTAGTAGCTCATAAATCTCCATCTCTAACCAAGATTTCGCTCATGAACTTCAGAGGTTTACATCCACCTTCCACCTTGCCATCTCTCATATGACCCGTGGGCATATTAAACTTATGCTCAAAATGGAATCTGTCATTTCTCCCTTCATTACCAAAATCAAAGACAAAACATTGCTTTTCTTGGTGATTCATCTAGCTTCCCAGTGCAGAAAGCTATGGGTCATCTTGGAAAACATTATTCTCCCTCTTTCTTATTTAACCAGTCACAAAGCTTTATCAATTTCTTTTCCTGTCTCTCAAGTCCATCCCCAATGACATAATCACTGTTTTCTCAGGTAACTGATAGATTTACCTCTACTCTTTTCCAGTCTGTTCCTTACATTGTAAGCAAAATGATTTTTCTAAAATGCAACCACGGCTTTAAACATTTCTCTATCTCCTGCTACTCTTAGGATGAAGGTAAGACTCCCCAGTGTGGCCAAAAAAACCTGCTTGATTTATCCCCTGGCTAACTCTCTAGAGCCTGTTCTTCTATTCCCTCTCTCACCTCTCAGGTATTTGCCCTTTCATTGGTTCAACAAACACTGAGTGCCTACTATGTGCCAAAAAGTGGGGTGAACAAAGCAGGACATGAGGAGATAGAATTTTTTTAAAATCACATAAATATAGAATCACACTTATTAAGTTTTTGTTTAAAAAAATAAAAGTAGAGGATACATTTAAATAGTATTAGTGAATGACCTGATTTAGATTGGTTATCAGGGACCCTGATCCTGATACTCCAGCACAGCTTTCCTGAAAAGAGCTAGGTTCTGCACATGTGGGACTTTTCCTTGTCCATCACTTTTCTACAGCTTACCTATGTCTCAGCCTATATGGTAGTTTTTTCAGGCAGCCATCCCTGAGACTCAGAGCCCGGGTGTGGTGCTTCTCCATCCACCGCAGTTTCCTCATTCTTTGTATTGTAGTGGGTTACTTTCCTATGGTTTAGTGGTTTAGCTGATTCAGGGACTCTCCCTGTTTTTGCCACATTGAATCCTTAGCTTCCAGCACCATGGCTGTTACAGAGCAGATTCTCCGCAAACATTCCTTGGATCAATAAATGGCAGAATGTTTCTATCACTGACAGAATTAAATAAAATGCTGAAGAACTAATGCTCATGAAAATTCTGCCCCTTTATGACTAACCCCAAAAGATTAAATCTTAAGATCTTTTTGTTTTCCAATTTGCCTAAACATCAACCCTATTAATTATTCGAAATATGTTAAGTGCCTGACAACTGCAAGAGGGTAGAAGATTGCAAGTTGTTCAAATAAATAGATCTAAAGAAGTTACTACGTAGAAATCTAAGACTCCATGACTTTATTATAAATGTAATTGTGCTTTGTCTTCAGCTTCATCTGCTGAAGGCCATCTCCAGTCCCACCCTACCCATATGGATCAGCAGTTTATGTCCTTATGGTCTGTTTGATCTCACATTAATCAACCAGAAACATTGCAATAAAAACCCATTGCAAACTTGACATATTACAGAAGAAACACATACATAACTTTGAAATATCATCTGAAATGACATTTGTGAACACTTGAAGAGGCTTCATGGAGACAGGTGGTACAATTTATACAGGTTATTTTATAAGTGGGCTAATAGTTGATGTCTATTTTTCACAAAAGAACCAGATGAAGTTTATAACTTAATGACCTCATTTCTGAATCCAGGTGTGTCATAAATAGAGCATATGATGCAAATTATGTTACCTATTGAGAACAGAGTAAACAAATTTATACAAAGCAGGCTGTTTCCATTATCTTAACATCACTTCTTGATTTACTAAGCCTATACAGGCACCAAGCTGCTTTATAACCTGCAATCACCTGGAACCCCGTGGAACTCTGCAGTTGATGACCCTCCCTCTTTTGGCCTTTCCTTTCCCCCAGTGTGCTGCACTTAGGAGCAGAAGATTTAGCATGACTATGTCGTGAGGTTAGGAGGAATGACCTGCTCGTCCCACCTCCCTGACTGCTCCGTGTATTTAGATGTGTGATGTATCTCTCAGAATTGTGATTAACACACATATAATTTCTTGCTAAGGAAAGTGGGAGACGATAATGTGACAAGATCAAGTTGAGCTTTGACAATGGTCTATTGAATTTTAAAACTTAAAGCCATTTTAAAGTAATAATTTCAAACAACATGCTCTTGCCTTAACCACTTATTTCTATGACTTTCTTCATGCTTTTTCCTGGAATGACTTTTTGTGCCCCTTCAACATCATCATGTTTTATATGCCTAAATCTTACCTACCTACCCTAGCTCAAATGCCAACTTCATCACAAAACCTTCTCAGATTTGCCCAACCAGATGTGATCTCTTCCTCAGAATTAGGTCCTAATTTCTGAGCTCTCCTATGGGTTAAATGTCTTCAAGTCTTTGTTCTGCATAGGTGTTCACAAGTATTTATTGGTTGAATAAAAAATTTTACTTAGATGATTAGGAAAAGTAGATAACCTCAAGAGTTCTAGAACATTGAGTTAAATCCTTGCATATAGAAATGAAATCATTCTCTGTAACTTTCTGCCACATTGAAGTGCTTGTATTTGGCTTATAGTTGAGAATACTTCTCTGATTTCATAGCTTTATTCTCTTTTCCTTATTTCTCTATATTGTTAAACAGTCCTGTTCACTGAATTGGCTGAGTTTGTTCCCTCCTGAAGTGATTTGTACTAACTATTCCCTGTATCTGGAATTCTCTTTTTCCAATGTGTTTCTTTTTTTTCTTTCTGCCTGGCTGGTGTTTTATAATCTGGGTGCCAGCCAGGTACACCTCTTTCAGAGAAGACTTACTCTGTACTCTATCCAATGTAGTCCTTTATCTCTAAAAGTGGTCAGTCGTACCACCTAGGTTTCATTTTCTTTATAGTATGTATAACTGACTGAATTTATCTTGCCTATTTTTTAAACTTGTTTTAATTATTTACTTTTCCAGGATGATTTTTCTCCTTTTATTAGATTGAAACCTCCATGAGAGAAGAAATACTGTCTTCCTTGTTGCTATATGTCCAGCTCCAAGAAAAGTGCATGGAAATGGAAGATGCTCAATATATATAACTGTGGAAAAAAATGAATGACTTCCAAATAGAAGGTTTTATGTATATTTTTAGTGAAAAGCATCAGGCCACACAAAAAGCACATGGTTTTATTTGTTGAAATTCCTTTGTGGTGGTGGCGTGGTCTAAATTCTCTGCCCTCTTGGAACTTCAGTCATAGCGTCTGAAACACTTTATTAAATATAGGTCACTTATTAAAGTCAGGTCAGGGCCTTGCTCATCTGTGCATCCTCAACATGTAACAATATATTAGTCAGGGTCCTGTAGAGGGACAGAGCTAATAGGATAGATGTCTATATAAAGGGGCATTTATTAAGGAGTATTGACTCACATGATCACAAGGTGAGGTCCCACAATAGGCTGTCTGCAAGCTGAGGAGCAAGGAAGCCACTCTGAGTCCGCAAACCTCAAAAGTAGGGAAGTCAACAGTGCAGGCTTCAGTCTGTGGTAGAAAGTCTTAAGAGTCCCAAAGCTGAAGAATTTGGAGTTCGATGTTTGAGGACAGGAAGCATCCAGCACCGGGGAAAGATGTAGGCTGGAAAACTAAGCCAGTCTAGTCTTTCCATGTTTCCTGTGCCTGCTTTTATCCTACCATTGCTGGCAGCTGATTAGATGGTGGCCACCCAGATTTAGGGTGGGTCTGCCTCTCCCATTCCACTGACAAATGTTAATTTCCTCTGGCAACACCCTCACAGACACACCCAGGAACAATACTTTGCATCCCTCAATCCAATCAAGTTGACACTCAATAGTTCCTGGTATTAAGTTGAGCTAATTAAGTAGAGATTAAATAAATATTGTTTGTTTTCAAACCCTGATTGTCTTTACATATGTATTTACACAATCCATAACAATAATAGCTACTATTTTTGGAATAGCTACTCACTAGGTAGTGTTTTATATTCTTTATCATGTTAATTCTATTAAATAACCCTTTGTAAACACCTATTTTAAAGATAAGGTAAGCTGAAAGTAAATGATTCTTTAGGACTGGATCCAGGTCTAATCTCCAAAATCCATAATCTCAATCAATCACTTTACCTGCTTTTACTGGAATACAAAAATTTCAAATGTACTTAACAGCTTACTTGAACATTAATGATTATCCCAAACTTTCCTATCCCAAAATATGCTTGACACTAATTTCCTTCATAGCAAATACTTATTATGTATTGTACTATGAATTTGTTTTTAATATCAAAACAAAATAAGTTTTTTGCTATACATCTAACCTGCTGTCTTTTTTATAGTTTAATAAAAACAGCTTTATATTTTTTGTTTCTGTGAAAAATAATGTAATTTTTTAAAAATCAAATAGAGAAGATATGATGAAGAGAACACAATTTAACATCATCTTTTAAAAAAATGCTTTTTGGCTACCTATACATCTTCTTTAGAACAGTATCTGTCCATGTCCTTTGCCCACTTTTTAAAAGGGCTGTTTGTTTCTTGTAAATTTAAATTCCTTATAGATGCTGGATATTAGACCTTTGTCAGATGCATAGTTTATAAATATTTTCTTCCATTCTGTCAGCTGTCTTTACTCTGTTGATAGTATTTTGCTGTGCAAGAGCTCTCACATTTAAGTAGATCCCACTTGTCAGTTTTTGTTCTTATTGTGATTGCTTTTAGTATCTTTCTTATGAAATCTTTGCCCATTTCTAGAAGGATAGGATTGCCTATGGAAAAAAGCTCAACATCAATGATCATTAGAGAAATGCAAATCAAAACCACAATTACATACCATCTCACACCAGTTGGCATGGCTATTATTAAAAAAAATAAAAAATAACAAATGCTAGTGAGTTTGCAGAGAAAAGTAAACACTTAGGCACTGTTGGTGGGAGTGTAAATTAGTTCAACCACTGTGGAAAGCTGTGTGGTGATTCCTCAAAGAGCTAAAAGTAGAACTACCATTCAACCCAGCAATCCCATTACTGAGTATATACCCAAGAGAATATAATCATTTTACCATAAAGACACATGTATGTGAATGTTCATTGCAGCACTATTCACAATAGCAAAGAAATGAATCAACCTATATGCCCATCAGGGACAGCTTGAATAAAGAAAATGTGGTACATATACACCGTAGAATACTATGCAGCCATAAAAAAGAATGGGATTATGTCTTTGGTAGGAACATGGATGGAGCTGGAGGCCATTATCTTTAGCAAACGAGTGCAGGAACAGAAAACCAAAGACCTCATGTTCTCACTTACAAGCGGGGGCTAAATGATGAAAACTCATGAACACAAAAATGGAAACAGGAGACACTGGGGCCTCCTTGAGGGTGGAGGGTAGGAGGAGATAGAGGAGCAAAAAATAAATAAATAAATAAAAATAAAAATATATAAATAAAAAAATTTGTTTACTAGGCCTAGTAACTGGGTGACAAAATAATCTGTACAACAAACCCCTATGACATGAGTTTACTTATACAACAAACCTGTGCATATACCCTGAACCTAAATGAATGATAAAAAAATAAAATAAAATCATCTTATGGAACCAACAGACACTGGGTACTGGGGACTACTAGAAGGAGGAGGGTGCCAGGAGGGTGAGGGTTGAAAAACTACTCATTAGATACCATGCTCACTACCTGGGTGATGGGATCCTTTGTACACCAGACCTCAGTGACATGCAATTTACCTATGTAACAAACCTGTGGATATACTCCCTGAACCTAAAATAAAAGGTGAAAATAAAATTATTAGAGTGTGGAATCATCTGTCATTGCTGTTCACTATTCCCCCTTCTGCCTGTTCCTCACTTCCTTCCATCTTTAGGGACCTCACAGTCTCACAGCTGTTTAGTCACTTAAATGCCATTCTATCTTTTTCATCCCATCTGCCTGCCCAATATGAAATATTGAGTCATCTGAGCCTGGGCTACTGCAATTCTTATATATTATTTTACCCACTCCAACCTTTATTTATATTTATATATATATATATAATTATATTTATATATATAATTATATATATTTTATATATATAATTTATTATATATATTCTATATATATAATTTATTATATATATTATATATATAATTTATTATATATATTATATATATAATTTATTATATATATTATATATAATTTATTATGTATATTATATATATAATTTATTATGTATATTATATATATAATTTATTATGTATATTATATATATAATTTATTATGTATATTATATATATAGTTTATTATGTATATTATATATATAATTTATTATGTATATTATATATATAGTTTATTATGTATATTATATATGTAATTTATTATATATATTATATATATAGTTTATTATATATATAATATATATAGTTTATTATATATATTATATATATAGTTTATTATATATATTATATATAGTTTATTATATATATTATATATATAATTTATTATATATTATATATATAATTTATTATATATTAAATATAATATATTATATATAATATATTATATTATATATTATATATAATTATATATATATATATTACATATAATATATATTATTATATGTAATATATTACATATAATATATATTATACATAATATATTGATATATATAATATATATTACATATGATATATATAATTATCAGCTATATCTTCCTGAAATATTCATTTTTTAAGTATTAAACTCAAGCATCTTAATCAGACATTGCAGGCCCTCCACAATCTGGGTTCAACCCACTTCTCACCACCTTTCCACGTCATGGGCTCTACATTTAGACTGCTCTACACCATTTTTTATGAAAAGATCTTGTGCATTGTTTTTCTCTCTTCATTTGGTACCCCTTTAAGGAAAAATGTTTTCTAAGTCCTTAGTATGTTTTAACACTCAAATATCATCTTCTCCTGAAGGCTTTTCTAAATAACCTAATTTATTTCTGCTTAATGAAAGTATCATCTATAGAATTCATTTATACCAAAAAAAATGTATTATTGAATACCAACTATGAGTCAGACACTGCTCAGGTACTGGGAATATATCAGGGAATCAAATGGACAAAAAAATCTCTGACATCATGGAATTTGTGCTCTTATTGATAGACAGAAAGTCTCTATCATTAGCAGAGATAGAAAAGAGCCTGGTTGGTGCCAGTAGTCAAGACAGTGGGAGAAAAGGTCCCAAAGAGATCATCTTTCTTGTCATAGGTCTAGAGGTTCAGGATAATATAATGGTTTGAGGGGCCAAGCCTGGGGCCCCATTGTCCTAATGCCACCTCAGGATGTTGTTTCCTGCATTCCAACTGCTCTGGCTACAGCCATGGGTCAAACAGCTCCATGTACTGCTTGGATTGCTCCTCTGGAGAGTGCAAACAATAAGCCTGTGTGGCATCCATGTGGTGTTAAGTCTGCAGGCACACAGAATGCAAGAGTGGTGGAGGCTTGGCAGCTTCCACCTAGATTTCAGAGGATGTATAAGAAAGCCTTGACGCCCAGGCAGAAACTTGCCACCGAGACAGAGCCATCATGGAGAGCCTCTAGTAGGACAGTACCTATTGGAGCTATGGGAGCAGGGCCACTGCTGCACAGACTCCAGAATTATAGAGCCACTGATACTGTGCACCCATTGCCTGGAAAACCCACAGGCATTTAACTCCAACCGATGAGACCAGCTACCTGGGCTGCGCCCAGCAAGGCCATGGAAATACGGCTGCCCAAAACCTTGGGTGCCCCCTTCTACCAGTGTGCCCATGATGGGGACATGAAGTCAAAGATTACTTTAGAGCTTTAAGACTTAATGTCTAACCCTTCTAGGTTTCAGACTTGTATGGGGCATTTTACCACTTTCTATAGGCCAATATCTTCTTTTTTGAATGGAAACATTTACCCAATGCCTATACAACCATTGTATCTTCCCAGTAAATCATTTGTTTTTGAGACTCACAGTTTTAAGGAACTTACTTGCCTTGAGTCTTGGGCGAGACTTTGGACTTTTGAGTCTATGCTGAAACAATTTAAGACTTTGTGGGACTATTAGGTTTAAATGATTATATTTTGTATGTGAGAAGGATATAAGATTTGAGAGATCAGGGCAGATTTCTATAGTCTGGATGTTTGTTCCCCTTAACTTCATGTCAGAATTTGATCCGCAATGTTGGAGGTGAGGCCTAATGGGACCTATGTGAGTCATGGGGTGGATCCCTCACAAATCTTCATGGTAATGAGTGAGATTTCACTCTATTAGTTCCCATAAGAACTTGTTGTTGAAAAGATCCTGGCCCCTTCTTAGTCCCTCCCTTGTTTCCTCTCTCACCATGTGATCTCTGCACATGGCAGCTCCCCTTCACTTTCTACCATGGGTGAAGCACTCTGAGGCTTCCACCAGATGCCCAATCTTCTAGCCGGCAGAATCGTGAGCCAAGTAAACTTTCTTTTTTCTTTCTTTCTTTTTTTTTTTTTGAAAATTAAACAGCCTTCGGTATACTTTTATAGCAACATTAAATAGACTAAAACATTTACCTTTGAGCTGTACAAAAAGAGGCAGTTGCCAGATTTGGCCCATGAGTTGTATTTTGCTAAGTTTTGTGTAAACTATTGAAAAGTTAAGATTATTAAAGACTAGAAGGAGATAAGGGAGTGAGCAGGCGGATATTTAGAAATAGATCATTCTAGGCAGAGGGAATAGTCATTGCGATGTTTCTGAGACAGGGGAATGCTTAGTGTGTTTCATGAATAAACAGTATACCAGTGTGATTGGGCAGGTTGAGTGAGAGAAGAAAAGAGGTGAGGGATGAGGAAGGAGGGGCAAGAAAAATGAGATTGTATAGTGGGCTAATTAAAGACTTAAACTTTTACTCTGAGTGAAAAGTTGAGCCACTAGAGGACTTTGAGCAAAGGAGTAATATGATTTATTTATAAATCACGGCAACTATCACTTCTTATATCTGGAAGAAAGAAACCCTAAAAAATTGTCTGTAGTCTCAGTGTGTTTAATAGGTTTAAACACAGACAACCAGCTCTAATTGGGGTTCTATGAGAGCAAGATTCTGAGAATGAACTCTGTCTTAGCCAGAAGCACTTCTGTGATCAGTTAGCAAACGTTGCTCAAGTGTTAGGGCTGTTGGTTGCCATGTGTTTATGGTCCTCATCTAGTCTAACCTTCACCTTTTCCAAATTTGAATACACTGATCTTCCAACAGTTTACATGACTTCTACAACATCATCACCTAATTAATGTCAGCATTTCTGATCCCTAGATAGTGATCTGGATTGTATCTTGGTCCTTCACCATTTCAGTTTTTACACTTAAGGCAGTAATCAATCCCTATGCTTCCTGGAAGCTGAAAAGACATTGAAATAAAAAACCGTTGTGGTGATATTAATTACTCATGCAAACTTTACTCCCTTAAATTTATATAAACTTCACGATTTGTAAATCACTTTTGTCTTTATCTTAGTTGAGCCCCAAAATTATCTTATAAATTCTTCATAGTCCCAGAAAATTATACTAGAGCCCTGAACATGCAAGAACAGGCCCTCCAGCTGCTCCTAACTGGAATTTCATTTGTCAGTGATTGCAGAGTTTTGCTTTTTTTTTTTTTTAACAATTACATTTATAAAATTTCGTTAAAATTATTACCACAGTTATTTCACAATTGTTACTAAAATACTTCTTAGTGCAAGTGGAACAAAAGGAAGGAAGGACCAAAGCCTTCAAAATGTTCAATGATAAGCTTAAAGCTGCCATTCTTTCTGTGCATTGTGGGGAAAAGGAGGAGGAGTTTGTGCTGAGTTCCTGTGATGACTAATGAAATTTTTATTCTTTTCAATAAGAGCTTTAACAATTAGGCTGTGTTATAATGAAATGCCCATTTGTCCAAAGTCTGATTCCTGGTCCATAAATACCTCTTTGTCAGAGGTACATCCCTAAAATATGCCTTTGTCTTGAGTGGAATGCAACCAGAGGCGTTTAGTGCAAGGAGTCTCAGTAAAGCAGCCTGAAATAAACAATGGGGCTTCAGAAAAGCTGAAATGAAAATGTATATGTATATGTTTTTCTGTACCATGTGCTATTCATTACCTGACTAAAAGATTATCTACAACAATAGGGAGTAAAATTTCACACTTAAATATGATCATAGAGGAATGTTTAAAGAATCCAAATTAATGAAAGACATTTTACATTCTCAGTAACAGTGTAAAGGACATCTGGAAACTACCTTTTTTGTTGTATATTTTTAAAGGATTTTAGTTCAAAACTAACTAATGATTTTAAATAGTTTGTACTTTCCTAGAAATACTTTTAAAAAACTTTTAAGTTCAGTGGTACATGTGCAAATTCATTATATAGGTAAACTTGTATGTGTCCATGTGTTCTCATCATTTAGCTCACCTTTCAAGTCCTAGAAATACTTTTACTTTTGTATTTTGACGAAATGTATTCAGTTTTTCCTCTCATGTTACTAATGCTGTTGAAACCAGTTGGGATCTATTTTAATTACATTTTTCTTGTTGCACCACTTCATCTCCTTTCATTAATATTTAATCTCTGAGGAAAACCAAAAAATGTTGGTTTTGTATTAAATATGAACTTAGTCAGAGTGGGCTCACATTTCCAACATGATGAGAAAGAATCAGGTACTTATAAAGAATCACCATATATCAAAGAACAGAAGCAACATGGTAAAAATCTTGTGGATTTACATCAACTATAAATTGACTCTGGTGTTTTCCATAGCCTGACGTGATTCCAAAATGCCAGAGAGTCTTAAAGGGGGACTTTTTTTCTTTTTAAAGAATGGCATTTAAATGAGTAAAGAAGTGTGAGACTGTGAGGTTCCTGGAGATGGAGGGAAGTGAGGCACAGGCAGAAGGGGAAACAGTGAACAGCAATGACAGTGAGAAAGTTCCACACTCTACTGACTTTATTCTCCACTATTGTATGATCAATCCATGGATCTATGGACACCTAATAAGTCTTTGGACCCCATTCTAGTTTTCTACTCATCTTACAAATGTTAGAGCATCTGATGGGATACTGGAACTGCTGGGCCAATTTTTTTTCTTCTCATGAACAATGCATCTATCTGCCCATGTTCTGTTTGTTTCTGGAATCCCACTTTTTCTGCTTAGCTAATTTCTAATCACTGGCACCCTATCACCCAAAACTCAATGAAAGTTGCCTGCTGTGGAAAACTCTGGCACCTACAGTCTGTATTAAATGTCCCCTTTTTGAACGCCTATAATACCTTAGGTACACTTATATTCTTACGTGATTGTACATACCTTTTTTCACTTTTATTGAAGTATAATTGACAAATAAGGATTGTATATATTCAAGGTGTATGATGTGAAGTTTTTATGTACATATACATGGTAAAATGATTACTACAGCTAAGCTAATTAACATAACATCATTTCACATAACTTCATACGCGTGTTTGTGTGTGTATGTGTGTGATGAGAATATTTAAGTTCTACTATAAGCAAACTTCACATATATAATACACTATTACCTATAGTCACCATGCTATAATCTAGGTCACCAGAACTTACTTATAGCTGTAAGTTTGCAATCTTTCACCAACATCTCCCCCATTTCCCTTGCCCCCCGGTAACCACTCTCTACTCTCCATTTCTATAAGTTTAACTATTTTAGATTCCACATACAAGTGAGACCATGGGGGATTTTTCTTCCTGTGTTTTGCTTACTTCACTTAGCATAATGTCCTCCAGGTTCATCCATGTTGTTGCAAATGTCAGATTTGCCTTCTTTTTTAAGGCAGAACAATTTTACATTGTATACATGTGTATTTTCTTTATCTATTCATCCACCGACAGTTAGGTTGTTTTCATATCTTGGCTATTGTAAATAAAGCTGCAATGAACATAAGAGTGCAGCTGTCACTTTGAGATAATGATTTTATTTTCTTTGAATATATGCCCAGAAGTAGCATTGCTGGATCATATGGTAGCCCTATTTTTAATTTTTTGAGGACCCTCCATATTGTTTTTTAGAAAGGCTGTGCCAATTTGCATTCCCACCAACAATGCACAAGTATTTCCTTTTCTCCACCTTCAGTAACACTTGTCTTTTGACTTTTTGGTAATAGCTATCCTAACAGGTGTGATGTGATATCTCATTGTAGTTTTGATATTTATTTCCCTGATGATTAGTGATGTTGAGTACCTATTCATGTACCTGTTGATCATTTGTATTTCTTCTTTGGAAAAACATCTATTCAACTTCTTTGCCCATTTTTAATTGAGTTGTTTGGCTTTTTCGTTATTAAGCTGCATGCGTTTCTTATGTTTTGGATGTTAACCCCTTATCAGATATATGGTCTGCAAATATTTTTCCCATTAGTAGGTTGGAATTTCATTTAGTTGATTGTTTCCTTCACTATGCTAAAACTTTTAAATTTGATACAAGTCCCACTTGTTTATTTTGCTTTGGTTGCCTGTACTTTGGGATGTCATATACAAAAGTAATTGCTAAAATCAATGTCATGGAGTTTTTCTCCTTTGTTTAAATCTAGTTTTACAGTTTAAGACATTAATTTTAAATGTTTAATGCATTTTAGTTTATTTTGTATGTGGTGTAAGAGAAGGACCCAGTTTTATTTTTTGCATGCAGATATCCAGTTTTCCCAACACCATTTATTGAAGAGGCTATCCTTTATTTTATTGTGTATTATTGGTGCCTTTCTTGAGGATTAGTTCAAGATTAGTATATATATATATATATATATATATATATATATATATATATATATACACACACACACACATATATATATAGTGTGTATATATATATATATATGTACATACATGACCATTGCCATATTATTTTGATTACTATGGCTTTGTAATGTAATTTGAAATCAGGATGTATAATATTGATGCCTCCAGCTTGGTTCTACTTGCTGAAGATTGCTTTAGCTGTTTAGGATCCTTTGTGCTGCATATGAATTTTTAAATTAAAAAAATTTCTGTAAAAATGCCATTTTAATTTTGATAGGGTTTGCATTGAATATATAGATCAATTTGGGTAGTATGGACATTTTGAGACTATTGATTCTTCCAATTCATCAACATGGAATATCTTTTTATTTATTCGTGTCATCTTAAATTTCTTTTATTAATGTTTCATAGCTCTTAATTACAGAAATATCAACGTTTTGTTAAATTTATTTCTGAGTCTTTTATTCTGTTTTATGCCATTGTAAAGGGAATTGTTTTCTAATTTATTCTTCAAAGCATTGTTGATAGTGTAGAAATGCAACTGATTTTTGTATATATCAATTTTGTATCCTGAAACGTCATTAATTTGATAGTTCTAACAGTTTTTCATAGACTTCTGAGGGTTTTCTATATATGTAATATAATGTCATCTGCAAACAGAGATTATTTACTTTCTTTCTTAATTACATGCGTTTCTTTTTTTTTTTTCTTGCCTAATTACTCTGACTAGGATATCCAGTTGAATAGAAGTGGTGAGAGTGAGATAGTGGGCATCCTTGACTTGTTTTGATCTTAGAAAAAAGTCTTCTAACCTTTCAACATGGAATATGAGGTTGGTTGTGATTTTTGACCTTTATGGCATTTAGCTACAAATCTTCTGTATCTAGTTTGCTGGGAGTTTTTTTCATGAAGGATTGTTGAATTTTGTCAAATGTTTTCTCTGCATCTATTAATATGATTTTTATCCTTCTTTCTTTTAATGTAGTGCATCACAAAAAAAGTGTATGATATTTTTGATTTGCATATGTTGAACCATCCTTGCTTCCCAGGGATAAATTCTTTTTGATCACAGTACATGATCTTTTTAATGTGCTGTTGAATTAGGTGGGCTACTATTTTGCTGAGGATTTTTCTATCTATTTTTATCACAAACATTGGCCTGTATTTTCTTTTTTGTACTTTTTTTCTGGCTTTTATATCAAGCCGATGCAGGCCTTGTAAAATGAGTTTGAAAGTGTTCTCATCTCTTCCATGTTTTGGAAGAGTCTAAGAAAATTTGACATTAATTCTTTCTAAGTGTTTGGTAGAATTCATCAATGAAGTCATCAGGCCATGGGCTTTTCTTTGATGGGAGATTTTTATTACTGATTCAGTCTCCTTAATCATTATTGGTCTATTCTGAGTTTCTTTTTTTTTATGATTAAGTCTTGGTAGTTATACATTTAGTAATTTATCCACTCCTTCCATGTTACCCAATTTGTTGTCTTACAATTGTTCCTAGTAGTTTTCTATGATTGTGGTATCAGTTGTAATATCAGCTCTTTCATTTATGATTTCATTTTGGTCATCTATTCTGAGTATAGCTAAAGGTTTGTTAATTATATCTTTTTAAAACAGCAATTCTTAGTTTTGTTAATTTTATCTAGTCTATTTCATTTATCCCTGCTTTGATCTTTTTATTTCTTCCTTCTACTAAACTTGGACTTAGTTTATTCTTCTTTTTCTTACTCCTTAAGGCATAATGTTAAATTGTACATTTGAGATATTTCTTTTGCCTTTCTTTATCATCATAAATTTCCCTGTTAGAACTGTTTTTGGCGTTGTGCACATGTACCCTAGAACTTAAAGTATAATAAAAATATATATATATTTAAAAAAGAACTGTTTTTGGCTGTATTTCGTAAGTTTAGGTACGTTGTGTTTCCATTTTGTCTCAAGATATTTTTGTATTTTCTTTTTGATTTCTTGTTTGACAAATTGGTTGTTTGAAAGAATGTTGTTTAATTTCCACGTTTGTGAATTTTCTAACTTTCCTTGTGTTATTGATTTACAGTTTCATACCATTGTGGTTGGAAAAGATACTTGATATTATTTAAATCTTTTTGGATTTATTAAGAATTATTTTGGGGCCCAACATATGATCTATCATGGAGGATGTTCTGTGTGTGCTTCAGGAAAATGTACATTCTGTTGCTGTTGATAGATTGTTCTGTATACATACATCTGTCAGGTTCATTTGGTCTAAAGTACTTTAAGTCCAGTGTTTCCTTATTAATTCTCTATCTGGATATTATGTCAACTGTTGAAAGTGGAGTATTGATATTCCCTCCCATTATTGTATTGCTGTCTATTTCTCCCTGCACATCTATTAATACTTGCTTTATATATTTAGGTGTTCCAGTGTTGGGAGAATATATAGTTACAATTTTTATATCCTTTTGATAAATTGACACCTCTTTCATTACATAACAAGCATATTTGTCTCTTTTTACAGTTTTTGACTTAAAGTCTATTTTATGTGATAGAAGTATAACCACTTCTGCTCTCTTTTGGTTTCCATCAGCATAGAATATATTGTTTTTAATCCTTCACTTTTAGTCTATTGTATTAGAAAATAAACTGTAACTGAAAGTTTCCGACATACCATGGAGACATTTTCTCCACTGTCTTGGTGATTAGCATTTGGCTCCTCATTACTTATGAAAATTTATGCAGCTGGCTTGAATTTCTCCCCAGAAAATGGGTTTTTCTTTTCTATTACATTGTTAGGCTGCAAATTTTTCAAACTTTCATGCTCTATTTCCACTTGAACACTTTCTCACTTAGAAATTTCTTCCACGAGATACCCTAAATTATCTCTCTCAAGTTTAGAGTTCCACAGATCTCTAGGGCAGAAGCAAAATGCTGCCAGTCTCTTTGCATAGAAAGAGTAACCTTTACTTCAGTTCCCACCTAATTCTTCATCTCCATCTGAGACCACTTCAGCCTGGACTTTATTGTCCATATCACTATCAGCATTTTGGTCAAAATCATTCAACAAATCTCTAGAAAGTTCTAAACTTTCCCTCATTTTCCTGTCTTCTGAGCCATCCAAGTCTCTAGGATGTTTCAAACTCACCCATACCTTCCTGTCTTCTGAGCACTCCAAGTCTCCAGGAAGTTCCAAACATTCCCACGTTTTCCTGTCTTCTTCTCAGTCCTCCAAACTCTTCCAACCTCTGCCTGTTACCTAGTTCCAAAGTCACTTTCACATGTTCGGGTATCTTTACAGCAGCACCCCACTCCAGTGCCAATTTACTGTATTAGTTCATCCTTACACTCCTGTAAGGACTTACCTGAGACTGTGTAATTTATAGAGGAAAGAGGTTTAATTGACTCACAGTTCCACAGGGCTGGGAGACCTCAGGAAACTTACAATCATGGTGAAAGAAGCAAATACATGCTTCTTCACATGGCAGCAGCAAGGAGAAGTGCAGAGAAAAAGGGGGAAAAGTCACTTATAAAACCATCAGATCTTGGTGCCAGGTGCGGTGGCTCACACCTGTAATCCCAGCACTTTGGGAGACTGAAGCGGGCAGTCACCTGAGGTTGGGAGTTCGAGGTCAGCCTGGCCAGCATGGAGAAACCCCATCTCTACTAAAAATACAAAATTAGCCAGGCATGGTGGTGCATGCCTGTAATCCCAGCTACTCAGGAGGCTGAGGCAGGAGAATCGCTTGAACCCAGGAGGCAGAGGTTGTGGTGAGCCGAGATCGTGCCATTGCACTCCAGCCTGGGCAACAAGAGCGAAACTCCATCTCAAACAACAAACAAGCAAGCAAACAAAAAAACACATCAGATCTTGTAAGAACTCACTATCATGACAAAAACATGAGGGTTACCACCCTCATGATTAAACTGTCTCCCACCAGGCCCCTCCCGTGACACGTGGGGATTATAATAACTACAATTCAAGATGAGATTTGGGTAGGGACATAGCCAAACCACATCAGTTGTGAAGCATGTGGCAAGTCACTTCATTCCCAAGGTGCCTGCCCGTTCTTTCCTTTGTTGCTAATAAGCCTCTGTGGACATAATGTGCCAAAGAGGGAGGCAGATTGTGCTCAGGTGTCAGCTCTATTCTCTACCCATTTCCATCCTGTAGGGCTGTAGTAGTCCCTGAGAGCTGCTTGAGCACTCCAGCCTAGCCTCAGAGCTCTCCTTATCATAGTAAAAGTAAGCCACATGAGGCTCTTATCCCAATCAGACAGGCATCTTTATGTAGAAAAATGAAATGGACAGTATCATTATATTTCTCCATGTGTTCCACGACTCCTTACACAGGATATATGCTCACACAGATGAAGATCTAACTCAGCTCTCAGAATGGACTTATGAGTCAGATTGCCTCAAACATCCATTCACCACTTTTCTTAACTGTGTAGCAATGCATGGTTGGTTTTGTTTTGACAAAGGATAAACAAATTAAAATATCAAGAGAACTCTCCAATTATTATTAGAAACTTTTTAAGGAAAAAAATGCAGATAAAGAACGTTCTTAAACGTTTCACTATGTGACAATAAAGCATTCATTTAAAATTCTATAATTTGATGCCAGTATATTTTTTGGGGTGCTTTTAGGTAAATTGTACTCACAGAATCACAGAGTTACAGAGCTGAAAGACTCTTAGACACTTTAGTCCTTTGCCCAAGACCCCAGAGACTGTGAATTGCCTTATGGCAATACCCTAAAATGTAAAGGTCTTCTGATTCCCATTTCTATGTCCATTACATTATAATACATTGTATTGAAATTTTGACAGTACAAAAGTCAGACAGTGATATCACAGTCTCTATTAGACCATTCAATTGTCAGGTGTCAGTGTAGCATTTTTGAAAATGCAGCTCTCTCTGTCTCATCAGTCACCTGCCATCCATCACGTTATTACCTGAAGTGAGACTCCTTGATTCTTATAACTTCAGTGAATACTCCTTTAAAAGCCATTTCTGAAGTTTTCAGTTTAGACTGGCTTTCAGTTGGTTTTACATGTCTCTTTGTATCACATGATTATATTTGTCCTATCTCATCAAATTTAATCTTCAAGATAATGACTGCAGGGCAGTTCTCCAGCTTACTTTGGAGCAACCCACGTTCCCTCCCTTTCTCACTTATAATTTTCAAGAATAACTGTAAAATGAGCTGGAAATGTAACATCCTGAAATAGGGTGGGACTGGCCAGAACAGCCTGGGCCCTGTTCCAGTACTCCTGACAATAGGATGTCCTTCAGCACTTTAGCCTAGCATGTCCTATAATCCTGGAGTATAAAATCCAAGGCAAGCTGCTTTCCAGGGTCCCTCAGCTGTAATGCAAGTGGGGCACTTGAAGATGAAACCTAATCTGCCCCAGACAGCTTTCTAGACGTTGTGGAACCAGCTCACAATGAATCCCAGGCATCTGTTTTCTCTTGCTGCCTATCTGTAAATAATAGATCTTCATGTAACTTGTTACATATGTGAGTGTTCTGTTTCATGGGACTCAGACAAGTTTGTAACTGGTATACAATGAACCTGCTTCAAAATGACAATATCTTCTATTTTATATAAACTTCTCCTTAGTGATCTGGTGTCTGGTT